>NC_000001.11:53796259-53947774 GCF_000001405.40 Homo sapiens
AATAGCACGTCATGGGTTAAGGCATCTTTTTTCTTAATAGCACATAAGTCTTATAATTAATGATATTTTATATTTCAGAGAAACAGAATATAATACATTTGCTTACTCACTGATTTCCCCTCACTCGAATGTAAATATTACATGGGCAAGGACTCTGTTTTGTTTGCTTTTTTCCCAGTGCCTAAAAGCACACCTTGGATATATAAAGAACTCAAATATTTCTTACATGAAGTTATCAGGTCAAGTCATATGAAATTACAATGTGTATAGCTCAAACCAGTCAAATATTGGCTGTTTCATTTGAGTCAATACACGAAGCATAAAAAAAAAAAAAAAAAAGCTTCTTATTCCTGATGACTTACTCATGTGAGATCCTTAATGTTCTCAATTTTACATGCAAATATAAATCCTATAACCATATCATCCTACCTGTTCACGTTTATTCTGAATCCATGAATAAATCACACTGGGTTGTCTCATTGTCTTACCCTCAGCACTAATAGAGGTAGATGGAGAAGGATTAGAAAATTCAGTCATTTGCTGATCTATTTTTAAAAAAGAAAAGGCAAGATAAGAACTTAGGCTGTCTGATCCTCTGCAACATGACATTTAAAATCTTAAAAAATATATAATTCTCACCAGAAGCTGATGTCCACAATCTTGGCCCCCTTCTTATTAGCTGAGGACTTTGCGGTGACCCATAGCAGGTGTTTACATCAAAAATTCCAGCCATCCGATTCATTACACTAGAGCCAAATGGGGTCCCAAATGGGCTCACAACATCAGGTGTAGATAATTTTGAAGAAAACAGTGATGTTTTAACTAATGGTGGCACTGAAGGCCGAGGCATCTGGCTAGATTTTGGTGTCTGAAAAGCAGTTTCTTCTGTAAAACAACAGATCCAGTGCTGAAGAGGCAACCTGATCCAAGCAGGCTAGCAGCAACGCTTTCAAATTCTACACATACCAAATTTTTGTTTAACGCATTTACCCAAAGCTCAGTAGATTGTTTCCATTTATGATTATAGTCTCAAGATTCGATTTTACTACTGCATTCAAGCTCCACTCAAAGAGCTTTATACATCTTCTTCTGTCAGATCGATATAGTCTCTCTTTTTCCCCCCCCATGAATATCTTCATCTTCAACGTCAATTTATCTAACTCTAAGCAATTTTGAATGAACTCATCAATTCACATTTTATTTCTAATTGGCAATTTTAATTACTGCATTAGAATCTATCCAGTTTTACTGCATTACTATTTTAAGTATTACTTGACTGAACATACCAAATCTATATTGTGAACATATACAGGAAAAAAATATTAACCTTACCCCATTTTCCCCAGTTTTTTCCTTTCCTTTTCTTTTTCTTTCCTTTTCTTTTCTTTGAGTCAGGATCTTGCTCTGTAGCCCAGATTGGAGTGCAGTGGTGTAATCTCGGCTCACTGCAGCCTCAACTTCTGGGGCTCCAGCGATCCTCCCACCTCAGCTTCCTGAGTAGCTAGGACACAGGCACATACTACCATGCCTGGCTAATTTTTTTATTTTTTGTAGAGACAGATTCGCCATGTTTCCCAGGTTGGTCTTGAACTCCTGGGCTCAAGTAATCCTCCTGCACTGGCCTCCCAAAGTGCTAGAATTATAGGCATGAGCCACCACACCTGGCCTGAAAGTTCTTTCAAGTTAACAAAAGTCACACCAAAGGCTAATTTGCCCAGAATATCTATAAATCTGATCTGTAAACAGCTTTTTCAAAAGTCATCTTATGACTCTCCAATTTAGTAATAGAGTCTGTTATACAAAAACAAAAGGAACTTTTCTTGTCACTCCAGCACAAGCCACAAAAACAAACACATTGCATTAGGATTCCATCTTCTTTTTATTATTATTATTATTATTATTATTATTATTATTATTATTATTATTTTGAGATAGAGTCTCACTCTGTGGCCAGGCTGGAGTGCTATGGCGCAATCTTGGCTCACTGCAACCTCCGACTCCCTGGTTCAAGTGAAATCTCCTGCCTCAGCCTCCCGAGTAGCTAGGATAACAGGCATGCACAACCACATCCAGCTAATTTTTGTATTTTTAGTAGAGACAGGGTTTCACCATGTTGGCCAGATGGTTTTGACCTCCTGACCTCATGATCCGCCCACCTCGGCCTCCCAAAATGCTGGAATTACAGATGTGAGCCACCTCGCCCAGCTGGATTCCATCTTCTTAATAAAACCACCATAAGAAATATAAGAAATTAAACATCCCAAGTACCAAATTTTCATTATATGACTTTTCTTTTTTTTTTTTTTTCTCCTTAAGAAGGAGTCTCACTCTGTCACCCAGACTGGAGTGCAGTGGCATGATCTCAGCTCACTGCAACCTCCACCTCCCGAGTTCAAGCAATTCTCCTGCCTCAGCCTCCTGAGTTGCTGGGACTATAAGTGTGCAACACCACAGCCAGCTAATTTTTATATTTTTAGTAAAGACGGCGTTTCGCCATATTGGCCAGGCTGGTCTCAAACTCCTGACCTCAAATGATCCACCTGCTTCGGCCTCCCAAAGTGCTGGAATTACAGGTGTAAGCCACCACACCTGGCCCATTATATGACTTTTTAAAGGTTAATGGAAATTAGAAATCTTTGAAAAATCAATTTAAAAATTAAGACTGGAGTTTTTAAGAGTTTTACAATTATTCTTCAAAATATGAGACAAATTTTGGCTGAGTGATGGTATATGACAAAAACTTACAATAATGAATGCTCCATATTTGGTCAGACTCATGATCTACCCAACCCAGAATTACAATGATCTTTCCAACGCTAATTTGATGGAACTAGCCTATTCAAAATTCTCCAATGGCTCCATATCTCTATAGAATAAAATCTAAACTTTTTTTGTTGCAAACAAGGCTTCCTTTCATTATCAAACATCATCTTATCCAGTCGGACTCCTTTTGGACAGATTTCCTTTTGGCAGTTATATTGTATCATTATTTGTGTGCCTTCCACTAAAAGGTCAGATCCAAGAGTGTTTTCCATCTGTGATTCCCTGGCTTCTAGCACATTGTTTGGTATGCAGTAGGAATTCAATAAGTATTTGTTGAATAGAGGAATGCTGATCTGAAAGCTGATAACATCTGAAACACTCTCAAACCTTTCAAAATCTGATGTGTGTTAATTTATTTAAATCATTTTTCATATGTAATCTATTTGTTTTGGGGCTATGACCCCACCAGAGTACTGATTTTGAAACTAGATGAGTTTGCTTTGATCTATATAGTGATTTTTAAATATCAAGATTAGTTGCCAATGTTTAACAACTGAAAGATTTCACCTCAAAATTTGTTTAGATTTCAGGCTTCTCTTTTTTAAAAAGACCGGAAGTTCACATATGGGATCCAAAGTCCCATATGGGAACAATGAAGCAGGGCTAACCAACAGCTTCCCCCTTCAGAGGAAGCCTGTGCTCACAGGTTCACCACCATCCTCACCCAGCCAGTTTCATCCATTTTCACTAAATGCCTGGCTCCAAAACACATGGAACATTAAGTCCTTTTATCAGTCTTACATTCATAGGTGTCTTCTACCTAAGGGATTTGGTGAACAAGACAGGTTCCTCCACCTCTACTTCTTCCTCTCAGCTTTTGTCTTTTAAATGGAAGGGGTACTAACATTATGCCCCACTTCCAAATCACCCAGTCGTCTCAGCTGCTCTTCTCTGGGACAGCAACTTTTTGTCTCTGGACTACTGCAACCAGAACAGCAACAGATATTGTCTGCAAAAATTCACCTGGCTTTGTGCTAGAGTAAGCTGAAGTCTCCTATTTAATAGCCATCATTTTGGTAGTGTTTTTAATGCTACCACCACACTGAACTTAATTTGTTTCAAATTAACCAATGAAAAACTGCATATACTTAGAGTGTACAACGTGATGTTTTGGGCTTAATTTTTTCAATCTACAATGATACCCACGTCATTTTCTTGGTTCAATATAAGATGCTATATGTTGGATCAATTTTCCCTAAAAATATACACCTCACACTCATATAAGTATCCTTCAATTAACTACAGTCATCTTTTTTTTTTTTTTTTTTTTTTTTGAGACAGTCTCACTCTGTCGCCAGGCTGGAGTGCAATGGCACAATCTCAGCTCACTGCAAACTCCGCCTCCCTGGTTCTCCTGCCTCAGCCTCCTGAGTAGCTGGGACTACAGGTGCACGCCACCACGCCCAGCTAATTTTTGTATTTTTAGTAGAGACAGAGTTTCACCATGTGGGTCAGGATGGTCTCGATCTCTTGACCTCATGATCCGCCCACCTCGGCCTCCCAAAGTGCGGGGATAACAGGCGTGAGCCACAGCGCCCAGTCTACTACAGTCATCTTTCTTAGGAAATAAAATGTAAATGTTTTCCCCTCTTAGTAGTCCTAGGGATTACCTGGAGAATTTAATTTCTTAGGTTCCACTGGGTAAGATGAAGACACTCTCCCATTCGTAGCAGCAGCTTCTTGATAGAGAATCAGTTTCTGAGTCATACCATTTAAAAGATTCAAACACTCCCTTGAAATGGCTGTCCAATTGTGGGGATGTCCACCTAGGAGGTCCAAACACCAGCTTTTAAAATGTAAATAATCTTACATTCCCCTCTTGAAGTGGGGGAAAAAGTCAGTAAGAAATTCTACATTATGCTTGGCATCAGGACCCACTTTTCTTAGTGAAGCTACTATTTATACTCATGACATCTAATACACAGCAGGAGTTCAATGAATACTTGGATGAATTAAGTTTCCCAAAAGTCTACAAGCAAAAACTTGCTATTTTACCACACACATACCAAAAAAAAAAAAAAACAAAAAACCTCTCAAATTGGTCGCTAAAATAAAGCCAAACACTAGATCATAGGTTGAGCGAGAAAGACCAGGGTTACTTCACTAGCAGTATTAAACAGACTGCTATGACTGTGAACAATGAACTAAGACAATGAACACTACGATGTCCAGTGAGATGCACCTCCATGGTCCCCAGTGACCTCTAAACTTTTGCGTCTGACCCCCTGGGCTTCCTTACATTTTCATGTATATAACAGCCCCTATTTGCTGTTACATCTGTGGGAATGACTCGTTAATAATGATCACACTTTACACTCAGAGAGCTTACAGATTATCTTATTATTTAACTTAAACTACTGTGTCCCCATTCCTTTAAAAATTCCCTTATTTCTCATAGTAGATCTTTGTCGCCTAGAGTTATTATATAAAAATCAAGCATGCTCCATTATGCGTTAATAGCAGAGAAGTCTACTGAAAACTGGTTTCTCTATCCTATGTGCCAAATGATCATTCCCTCTTCACTTGGATCTCTCCTTAAACACTCCCCCCATTGTAAAACTCAGGAATACCACTTAACCTACAAACACACACACACAATACTCTATCACTAGGCCTCAGGATGTTTTGTACTACTGTAATTTGGGTACATGAGGAACTGTGTAACCATCCAATTAAATTTTTGTTTGTTTTTGTGATGGAATCTTGCTATGTTGCCCAGGCTGGAGTGCAGTGGCAGGATCTCAGCTCACTGCAACCTCTGCCTCTGGGGTTCAAGCAATTCTCCTGCCTCAGCCTCCCGAGTAGCTGGGATTATAGGTGTGCAACACCATGCCCAGCTAATTTTTGTATTTTTAGTAGAGACAGGGTTTCACCATGTTGAAACTCCTGACCTCAGATGATCCTCCCGCCTCAGCCTCCCAAAGTGCTGGGATTACAGACGTGAGCTGCGTCCATCCAATTAAATTTTTTTTATGTGCTAGAATGTACACTCTCTGGCAGAGCAAATGCCACCCTTTTACGGTTTACTTGAATATCTGGTAAAAAACATTTAGAGTATAGAATTCCTATGTTAACTCAAATCTGATAGAAAAGCATTGTTATAGTTAATTTTCCACAGTATCAGCTCTGGGTTTCTCATGTTACTAAAAGGAGAGTGGTTCCAGTCAATTACATTTTTATATAACTGGATTTCATTTCCATATAACATTTAACTATAGAAGGTTTATTATCTGGTATTTTATCTGGTAATTGGCAAGCTTGGCAAACTAATGAAGAAATCATTAAAAAAAAGATGAAAAGCTGGTTGAGTGTACTGGCTCACACCTGTAATTCTAACACTTTGGGAGGCCAAAGCAGGAGAACTGCTTGACCCCAGGAGTTCAAGGCCAGCCTGGGAAACACGGCAAGACCCTGTTTCAACAAAAATTTTTAAAAATTAGCCAGGTGTGGTGGTGCACACCTGGTATGCCCCTATAATACCAGCTACTTGAAAGGCTGAGGCGAGAGGATCATATGAGCCCAGCAGTTCGAGGTTACAGTGAGCTGTGATCATGACACTGTACTCCAGCCTGGTGATACAGTGAGACCCTGTCTCTTAAAATACAGAAGAAAGGCTACCCAGGTTCTCTGTTTCCCACCAGTGCCTGGGACTGGACTGTTTTCCCTCTAGGAACAACAGAGAACTGGCAAAGTCACAGTCTTGAACAGCATGGCAAGAACAGTATACACTGTAAGTGTTTCAGAGTTGCTGAGAGCATCCTTGAGTCACCATTGAATCTAGTTTCTTCCTAATTTTTTTTTAAAAGGAGGCAGAGTAGCATAGCAGAAGGAGGAGTCCTGTACATGGAGCCAAATGACAGGACTCTTATTCCAATTCTGACATTAACTTTATTTAAGCCAATCTCTGAGACTTAAATCTCCCATCTAGAGAGTAGACCACCTAATTTTTAAGATCCTTTGTAGCATTAAAAGTTTTAGAATTCTTTTTTGGGGTGGGGAGGGGGACAGGCTCTCACTTTGTCACCCAGGCTAGAGTACAGTGGCACAATCTTGGCTTACTGCAGTATCAACCTCCTGGGCTCAAGCAATCCTCCCAGCTCAGCTCCTCAAGTAGCTGCGACTACAGGCACATGCTACCATGCTGGGCTAATTTTTTGTATTTTTTGTAGAAGAGCGGTCTCATCATGTTGCCCAGGCTGGTCTCGAATTCCTAAGCTCAAGTAATCCACCCACCTTGGCCTCCCAAAGTGCTAGGATTACAGGGGTGAGCCACCACGCCCAGCCAAACTTTTAGAATTCTTAAGCTGTATTTTTCTGCCCTAAAATTGTCAGTGTACTAAATAATTTCTTCAGGTTAAGGAAATGAAGGAGCTGAAGGTAATAAACTCTTAAGCTGTGTAAGATTTAATTCAATACTTCATTTAATGGACTCATTGACATCTGATATTTTATTAAATACATCTTTCTCACCAAAAACTTTAAGTTAATTAATTTTTTTTTTCTTTTTGAGACGGAGTCTCACTCTGTCACCCAGGCTGGAGTGCAGTAGCGCAATCTCGGCTCACTGCAAGCTCCGCCTCCCAGGCTCACGCCATTCTCCCGCCTCAGCCTTTCCAGCAGCTGGGACTACAGGCGCCCGCCACCACGCCCGGCTAATTTTTTGTATCTTTAGTAGAGACAGGGTTTCACCGTGTTAGCCAGGATGGTCTTGATCTCCTGACCTCATGATCCGCCTGCCTCGGCCTCCCAAAGTGCTGGGATTACAGGCTTGAGCCACCATGCCTGGCCAAGTGAATTACTTTCTACACACATATGCCTAATCAAGTCTATTACTTTTAGCAATACCTGGTTGGCTGAGGCTGAAAACTTCTTGTCTTCGTGAAGGAGAATATTGAGAAAGCAACATCAGGTCCTGCAAGGCTAAATACTAACAGGGGGAAAAAACACATATTATTTAATTTTTTTTAACCTCTACATAAAATCTCACTAATTGGGTTCATCATTATATATCCAAGAGGAAATTAATTAAACTTTTTCATGAAAAAAAAAATCTCAGAACCATAACCTTCCTTTCTAGACTTCCAGAACTTTCCTGCCTCTACCCTCCCTACCTACTACAAGTTCTAGCTACAAGGAACTACAGAATTCTCTGTGCTCTTTCATATATCTGCGGTGGGAAATTGAAACATCACTTCCTCCTGGAATTTTCCCTGGTTTCCCTCACACAAACATACACTCACATAGCTCTCAACAATGGCACTAACATCATGTATTGTAATTGAATGTTTACTTGTCCCATCTGATTCCACCCACCAAACTGTGCGGCCCACAAGAAAACGGAAAATCTTACTTGCTACCATATCCAAAGGCAGTGCCTAGCACGTGATACCTAATTTTTTTTTTCCTTTTTTTGAGACAAAGTCTCACTCTGTTGCCCAGGCTGGAGTGCAGTGATGTGATCTCGGCTCACTGCTACCTCCGCCTTACGGGTTCAAGCAATTCTCCTGCCTCAGCCTCCCGAGTGGCTGGGACAACAGGCACACACCAGCACACTCAACTGATTTCTGTATTTTTAGTAGAGATGGGGTTTCACCATGTTGGCCAGGTTGTTCTCAAACTCCTGACCTCAAGTGATCCACCTGCCTTGGCCTCCCAAAGTGCTGGGATTACAGGCATGAGCCACCATGCCCGGCCACCCTATTTTTTTTTTTTCTTTACTGAAAATCTTCATCTTTTCCCAGGCAAACCCCTTTACTCATCCTTCAAGATACCATCCCTCTCTGAAGTTTTCTTGCATTGGTCCCAAGCTGAATAAGAGGTCCCAATGTATTTGCCACAGTACATTTTAGTTATTTTGGGCGTCTGTATTTTCTACTAGGCTGTGCTATGTCTTATTCATCATTCTACCACAAACAACTAGCAGAGACTGACGTACCACTAAATAAATATTTGGTGAGTAACCAAATGAGTAACTGATACTTTTAAGTTTCTCTAACAAATTAGTTATAATTAATATTTAAAAGTAATTCTATTTATTTTCTTATTTGTTTATAAATTCTTTAGAGTGTGATCAAAACTGGGTTCTAACTACTTTCTTTTAGCATTTCTGTTTGTTTGTTTAGAGATGGGGTCTCACTCTGCCACCCAGGCTAAAGTGCAGTGGCAGGCTAGAGTGCAGTGGCAGGGTCACAGCTCACTGCAGCCTCCAACTCTTAGGCTCAAGGAATGCAATTGCCTCCACCTCTCAAGTAGCTGGGACCACAGGCATGTGCCACCATGCCATTCAACTAATTTTTAAATTTTTGTTGAGATGAGGTCTCCCTATGTTTTCCAAGCTGGTCTTGAACTCCTGGGCTCAAGTGATCCTCTCACCTCGGCCTCCCAAAGTGCTGAAGACCACACACAGCCTCTTTTAGCTCTTTTTAAAGGACCTTTTAACAGGATCACACATACTGTAGATCTAGTTTAAAATTTCAACTTGCAAATTCAATCTAAACCATTTATGCTTACTTAGATTGATTTGTAAAATTACTACAACTTCTTTAAATTCTTGATTGTAATTAGTTTTAGGGTCATTACCAGCAATTCATATTTAAGGAGAGTTCACTAAATATCTATACATTTCTAAGCGCTATTTTTGATCACAAAAGCCAACTAATACTACAAGAGTAAAAATGTTTTGATCCAGTGATTAAAAAATCAATAATATTGGCCGGGCGCGGTGGCTCACGCCTGTAATCCCAGCACTTTGGGAGGCCGAGGCGGGTGGATCACGAGGTCAGGAGATCGAGACCATCCTGGCTAACACGGTGAAACCCCGTCTCTACTAAAAATACAAAAAATTAGCCGGGCGTGGTAGCGGGCGCCTGTAATCCCAGCTACACGGGAGGCTGAGGCAGGAGAATGGCGTGAACCCGGGAGGCGGAGCTTGCAGTGAGCCGAGATCGCGCCACTGCACTCCAGCCTGGGCGACAGAGCGAGACTCCGTCTCAAAAAAAAAAAATCAATAATATTTTGTTATGCTATCATGAATAGTTTGTGAGAAGTTAATGTAGATGATTGCATATCACTGTATTTTATGCTTGGAAATATTCTTATATCTGTTTCTGAATATAGAATTAACTAGCTTATACACATACACTGTACTGTGCACTTGCATTTTAGTCACTTGGAAAGAAAATTGAAAAAATAAACAGCATTAGCAAGTAGGTGATTTTTATCATACCAGTACAAGAATATTATAGGCCCTCAAAAAATACAACTACTTAAATATACTAAATATTAAGTGTATTGAATAAAGTTAGAGAAAACTGTGTGAAGATATGCAACACAGTTTGGATACCTTTATGATGGGGGGAGGATTGCTATTTAACACTTTTGGAAGGCACTCATCTGACCCTTCTGCAAATGGTGGTTGAACAGGAAACACATGAGCCTATCAAATAAATTAAAAACCAAAAATGATTATTTTCATGATCTTACATTCAATAAGCATGCACAAATTAAAACATAAAGACAGACAGCACAAGCAAACTGACATCTTTCGTGCTCCTTGCAAAGACAGGTTAAAGTTACATAAACCCAAACACACCATTTTTTTTAATGTTACTTTCCCAACTTTATTAGACTCTGTCTCTGAATAATAAAAACCACTTTCACAAACAAGGATTCTCTGAAGCCACTGAAGAATACAAACCTACGGAGATTGTAAAATAAAACAGAAACACTAATTTTCTAAGACAAACACTTGGATGATAAAAACAATGTAATTCTCAATCACTTAAAAAGATTTCTGTGGGAATTATCCAGAAGCTCACCTCAATTTCCAAAATCATTTCTTTAATATAAATTTTAAAACTTCCCTTCAGAAAACAAATATCTTGGCTGGGTGGAGTGGCTCACACCTGTAATCCCAGCACTTTAAGAGGTCGAGGACAGATCATTTTGAGGTCAGGAGTTCGGCACCAACCTGGCCAACATGGTGAAACCCTGTCTCTACTAAAATTCAAAAAAAATTAGCCGGGCATGGTGGCACACGCCTGTAGTCCCAGCTACTCGGGAAGCTGAGGTGGGAGAATCACTTGAACCTGGGAGGCAGACGTTGCAGTGAGCCAAGATCAGGCCACTGCCCTCCAGCCTGGGTGACAGAGCGAGACCCTATCTCAAAAAAAAAAAAAAAAAAAAAAAAAAAATTCTTACTGCCACATATTTAAATATTTTAATAGTAGCTATGCCAATGACATGGAAAATTAATTTAAAATTCAAGTCCATTTAGTATGTACTCAGTAGAGAAATGGAAGCCCCCAGAAGACAACTAGGATGTCAATAAAGCATAGTGGCAGTCCATTCAGTTTAATCTCCAAAAATTAAGTGAATATCCACACTGTTCCTCTGAAAAAAAATACCACATAAATGGTGGTTACAAATGATATGGCCCCAAGAGTCTCAGAAGAGAGACCAAAAACCAGCTTACGGAAATGGTTTTGCGTGTGCTGATCAGTGTGCTCTGCTAAAAATCAACTGTGCACTCCAAAACACAAAAGTATTAAGAAAAAATATTTTAAAAAACATACCTCTGTGGCATAGATTTTGAAGAGTATCCATGAGACATACCAAGTCGTCAGGAGAAAGACACCACACAGCCAGACATGGTAGAGTAACGAGAGATTTAAGAGGCCACTCACTGTGTCAAGTGGCCTATGAACCTGCCTGTGAATGCAGAAATTACTATTAATCCTCTAGGAAAAATGCAATCTAAATATTAACACACTTAAGTCTCCACATTGAGACACAAATATTATGTCTAAATAACAATGTTGACAGACTCCTCTCCTTCGATATCTTTATAAAGCTCTTTCCCTAATACTTTCTTATGAGGTACATGAGGGAGCTTTAAGGGAAGAACAGACCTAAATCGGGGCTACAGTTTCCTGTGTTCAAAATCTTCACTGACTTTTACTACGAAGGAGGAATGAGCTAAGCCTATAAGCCTCACTACGAGCAGCTGGGTGAAAGTTTATTATTGTTGCTTTGTAGTCTAATACCTCAAAACCATTAAACATGACTAGTACTTCTCCTGGACCAGATTTCAGCTTTATCCTTATGCCCTATAAACCACAGATTCATAGTCGTTAAAAGCACATGCTACTAAACAATGTTAAAGCAATTTAAGACACTCTGTTAGACTGCTAAGTAAAGCTAATGCTGCCATCTTTCCAAAACTTTGACTAGATCAATTAGCAAAGTTATTATAATCCTACAACCAGCAATTATGAAAACCAGGATTGGAACCTGACTCTGCCATTTCTAAGTGTTGTGATTAGGTAAATCACTCCACCTATCCCACCAGCGGTTTCCTCATCCATATAAGAGTGGCATAATATGTTCATTCTTCCTCTTAGTCCTATTACAATTTTTAAAACAGCTTACATTAGGAGTGCCCAGCACAGTGCTTGACATTCACTGGGGGAGTCAACCAATGATGAAGTTATTTTTAACTTCTAAGTAAACATTTTACTGAGGCCCTGACATAAATGAAGGACAGATTATCAGGCACTCAGCCATATACACAAAACATTTTTTGAGTGCAAGGAAGAAAAAAATATTGTTAAATTTCTATCAAATGCCATTATTATTTTTCTCTTTCCATTTCACCTAGTTTAAAATCTGGGCTAAAACAATAAATGACTCATGCGTTTGGTTTCATACCTAGCAAGTAAGCAGAAGACAAAACTAAATTTTGCCTAGAAACTTTGAAAAGTGAGAAACCATAATATCTCTTAAATACCATGTATGTCAATATTCCCACTCCCTAAAACTGATATTAGTGAATTCCATATATGAAACAAAAACCCTCACAGTGGAATATACAATAAGAACAAACACTGAGAGAGACTGACTTTTATTCGGCAAATACAGATTAAACCTTTATGTGCAAAGTGCATAGAAGATTACTACAACAATATACAACCGTGCTGTCACTTGACTGCCACTTGTGACCTTCAACTGATTACCTGACCTTGCTCAATTTTGGTTTCCTCTCATAGGCTAAATTAGAATAATGCCACAGCATTGGTATATATCATGAGACACCAGAGAAGGAATGATTGTTGGGGAGAAAAACGAAACAGAGGCCTGGTCCATGCAACTCGAGAAAGCCACTTTTGTATAGTATAAAAGCTGCATCTAAGAACAATTATCATTGCTTACTTCTGCGGAGAACTGGGTGAGTGGAGACAGAGGAGGAGACTTTTTCATTTTATACCCTATTATTATTATTTTCTTTTTGAGACAGGGTCTCGCTCTATTGCCTAGGCTGGAGTGCAGTGGCACAATTATAGCTCACCGCATCCTTGAACTCCTGGGCTCAAGCGATCCTCCTGCCTCAACCTCCCAAGTAGCTGGGACTACAGGCAAGTACCACCAAGTCCTGCTAATTTTACCCTTTTATACACCTTTGGAATTTTAAACCATATAAACTATATGTATTCAAAAATGAATACAATTTTTAAAAAAATGTTAAAGGCAAAATCTAAACAAAATATCTGGAAAATAGCAAACATCTAAAAGAATGGAAACAGAGTTAAAATTAGACTTTTTAGGTATCACTTACTCATCTATGTGAAGGTTCATAGCAGTGCTAATCCAAGCTTTGGGAATATAGCCTGAAGGGAAAAAATACCAAGCTATGAACATAAAAAGTTATAAAACAAGTTTTAGTCAAGCTTTAGAATATAAGGTCAATGACATGGCCACACAGACACCAAGACCTCAGTCAAAATGTTAGACTTATTAGGAATGAGTAGGAAAAGACAGTACTTATTAACACAGGCAGTCTTTGCTTTGTACAGTTCTGATATATACACATTTCAGTTACCATGGTTTAGTTAAAAAATACCAGTCACCCAAAAATGCAGTTCAAACTCTAGTTACTGTGGTATATTAACTATAAGCAACTGCATATAGCACTTCTAACTTTTCAGGACACAAATCAATATGTAGATAACCGATGTGCATTATAATCTGTGACCCAATCCCATCAATTCTCTCAAAGTCTGTTGCTGATTGGTCACTTGGATCTGTTATTCAGTACAGACACAGACAGCAAAGCATGTAGTTGTGTTGCCTCCTTGTTTCCCACAATAAATCCAAATGATACTTTTAAAAAATGAATAGCTAAAACAGGAAAGTAGTGCTTGCTTCAGCAGCACATATACTAAAATTGGAATTGCGCATACTAAAAGGGGAATTGCGCATGACCCCTGCGCAAGGATGACATGCAAATTCATGAAGCGTTCCATAAAAAATAAAATGGTTTTAATTAAAAAAAAGAAGAAACTGGCAAAAAAAAAAAAAATCAAAGTGCAACAAAGAAATGAAAAGTGATAATGCTGAAAACGAAATTTGAATTGAACATAAATGAAGTTATAGGAGAAAGAGCAAATCATGGAAATGATCATAGTCACAAAAATAGCCCAAATAAACAACTCTAGAGGAACAACCAGGCTGACTGTATGTAGTAGGTCAATACATTGCAATGAGGCTGAGCGTGATGGCTCATGCCTATAATCCCAGTACTCTGGGAGGCCAAGGTGGGAGGATCACTTGAGGCCAAGAGTTCAAGACTAGCCTGGGCAACATAGCAAGACCCCATCTCTAAAAGAAAAGAGACACTACTAATCATGATGGCAGATGGGTGGCAGGACTAGATTGCAGCTCCAAACAGGGCAGCTTGCAGATGCTTGTGTTGTGATTTTTAGCTCCAGATCGACTGCAAGAACAAACCAGCAATCACAAGAGGACCCACAGACCCTCTGAAGGAAGCAGACTGCTCCTGAGGACCCGGGAGACACCCCAAATACTGTGAGTGCCCCAACTGTGGAAGTGGAAAAGGAAGACCCTCCTCTTCTGAACACACACCCCCACTGGAGAAGGTGAAGGTCTGTCTGTGGGAGAAGTTTCTGACCTTACCTGGAGCTGAACCAGTTTAGAGAGTCAAGCGAAATACAGGGGTAGAGGAAGCAGCAGAAAGGCCCTGGGAGCTTGCTGCACTCCCTAGCAGGCCATTCCTGCCTGGCACCACAGGGATCCATCAGAAGGTTGACCAGAGGAGCAGGGAGTAAAACTCCACAGGGAAAAGGAAATCTCCAGCTGAACTTTGTAACAATTTAAATGGGGCAAGAAGCCTCCTGGCCAGAACTTGGGGGAGAGGGCAAATCTAATGTGTAGACTCCACAGGTGGGGCAAGAACCAAGCTCTTTTCTCTCCCAGCTGGGAGGCGGGTAGCCCAGGGCAAGTTTTCAAGCCCATCTGGCCTTCCACCTGGAAACAGACTCAGGGCTGTTGCAGGGCGGTGGGAGTGAGACTGGCCCTTTGGTTTGCATGGGACCTGGGTGAGGCCTGTGACTGCCACTTTCCCCCACTTCCCTGACAGCCTGCATGACTCAGCAGAGGCAGCCATAATCCTCCTAGGCACACAACTCCAGTGACCTAGGAATCTAACTCCCATTCCCCACAGCAGCTGCAGCAAAAACTGACCCAGGAGAGTCTGAGCTCAGACTCGCCTATCCCCACCCCCACCTGATGGTCCTTCCCTACCTCAATACAAAGGACATATAATCTTGGGAGTTCTAGGGCCCCACCCACTGCCAGTCCCTCTCCACACTACTACAGCTGAGGTTTTCCGGAAAGCGCCACCTCCTGGCAGGAGGCCCAATCAGCACAAAAGTAGAGCATTAAACCACCAAAGCTAAGAACCCTCATGGAGTCCACTGCACCCCCTCACCACCTCCACTGGAACACGCACTGGTATCCATGCCTGAGAGACCCAGAAACAGTTCACATCACAGGACTCTGTGCAGACAACCCCCAGTATCAGCCCAGAGACAGGCAGACTCGCTGGGTGGCTAGACCCAGAAGAGAAACAACAATCACTGCAGTTCGGCTCACAGGAAGCCACATCCATAGGAAAAGGCGGAGAGTACTGCATCAAAGGAACACCTCGTGGGACAAAAGAATGTGAACAACAGCCTTCAGCCCTAGACCTTCCCTCTGACAGAGCCTACCCAAATGAGAAGGAACCAGAAAACCAACCCTGGTAATATGACTATACAAGGCTCTTCAACACCCCCAAAAAAAATCACACTAGTTCACCAGTAATGGATCCAAACCAAGAAGAAATCCCTGACTTAACCTGAAAAAGAATTCAGGAGGTTAGTTATTAGGCTAATCAGGGAGGGACCAGAGAAAGGCGAAGCCCAATGCAAGGAAATCCAAAAAATGATACAAGAAGTGAAGGGAGAAATATTCATAGAAATAGATAGCTTAAAGAAAAAACAATAAAAAATTCAGGAAACTTTGGATTCACTTTTAGAAATGCGAAATGCTCTGGAAAGTCTCAGCAATAGAATTTAACAAGTAGAAGAAATTCAAAGCTTGAAGACAAGATCTTCAAATTAACCCAATCCAACAAAGACAAAGAAAAAAAAGGAGAATATGGACAAGGTCTCCAAGAAGTCTGGGATTATGTTATACGACCAAACTTAAGAATAATCGATGTTCCTGAGGAAGAAGAGAATTCTAAATGCTTGGAAAACATATATGGGGGAATAATCAAGGAAAACTTCCCTGGCCTTGCTAGACCTAGACATCCAAATACAAGAAGCACCAAAGAACACCTGAAAAATTCATCACAAAAAGATCTTTGCCTAGGCACACTGTCATCAGGTTATCCAAAGTTAAGACGAAGGAAAGGATCTTTAAGAGCTGTGAGACAGAAGCACCAGGTAACCTATAAAGGAAAACCTATCAGATTAACAGCAGATTTATCAGCAGAAACCCGACAAGCTAGAAGGGATTGGGGCTCTATCTTCAGCCTCCTCCAACAAAACAATTATCAGCCAAGAATTTTGTATCCAGCGAAACTAAGCATCATATATGAAGAAAACATACAGCCTTTTTCAGACAAATAAATGCTGAGAGAATTCGCCATTACCAAGCCACCATTACAAGAACTGCTAAAAGGAGCTCTAAATCTTGAAACAAATTCTGGAAACACATCAAAACAGAACCTCTTTAAAGCATAAATCAAACAGGACCTATAAAACAAAAATACATGTTGAAAAGCAAAAACAAAAAGCAAACAAACAAGTACACAGGCAACAAAAAGCATGGTGAATTCGATGGTACCTAATATTTCAATACTAACATTGAATGTAAATGGCCTAAATCCTCCACTTAAAAGATACAGAACCACAGAATGGATAAGAACTCACCAACTAACCATCTGCTGCCTTCAGGAGACTCACCTAACACACAAGGACCCACATAAACTTAAAGTAAAAGGGTGGAAAAAGGCATTTCATGCAAGTGGACACTAAAAGCAAGCAGAGGTAGCTATTCTTATATCAGACAAAACAAATTTTAAAGCAACAGCAGTTAAAAGAGACAAAGAGGGACATTATATAATGTTAAAAGGTCTCGTCCAACAGGAAAATATCACAATCCTAAACATATATGCATCTAACATTGGAGCTCCCAAATTTATAAAACAATTACTAACAGACCTAAGAAATGAGATAGACAGCAACACGATAGTGGGGGACTTCAATAATCCACTGACGACACTAGATAGGTTATGAGAACAGAAAGTCAACAAAAAAACAATGGATTTAAACTATACCTGGAACAAATGGACTTAACAGATAGATACAGAACATTTCATCCAACAGCCATAGAATACACATTCTATTCAACAGCACATGGAACTTTCTCCAAGATAGACCATATGATAGGCCATAAAACAAACCTCAATAAATTTCAGAAAACTGAAATTATATCAAGCACTCTCTCAGATCACAGTGGAATAAAACTGGAAATCAACTCCAAAAGAAACCTTCAGAACCATGCAAATACATGGCAATTAAATAATCTGCTCCTGAATGAGCACTGGGTCAAAAACTAAATCAAGATGGAAATTAAAAAATTTTTTGGCTGGGCGCAGTGGCTCATGCCTGTAATCCCAGCACTTTGGGAGGCCAAGGCGGGTGGATCACGAGGTCAGGAGATCGAGACCATCCTGGCCAACACTGTGAAACCCCGTCTCTACTAAAAATACAAAAAAATGTAGCCGGGCGTGGTGGCGGGCACCTGTAGTTCCAGCTACTCAGGAGGCTGAGGAAGGAGAATGGCGTGAACCCGGGAGGTGGAGCTTGCAGTGAGTCAAGATCGCGCCATCGCACTCCAGCCTGGGCAACAGAGCAAGACTCCGTCTCAAAAAATAAATAAATAAATAAATAAAAAATAATTTTTTGAACTGAATGACAATAATGACACAACCTATCAAAACCTCTGGGATACAGCAAAGGCGGTGCTAAGAGGAAAGTTCATAGCCCTAAGCACCTACATCAAAAAGAGTGAAAGAGCACAAACTGACATTCTAAGGTCACACCTCAAGGAACTAGAGAAATAACAAATCAAACCCAAACCCAGCTGAAAAAAGGAAATAACTGAGATCAGAGCAGAACTAAATGAATTTGAAACAAAAACAACAACAAAAATACAAAAGATAAATGAAACAAAAAGCTGGTTCTTTGAAAAGATAAGTAAAACTGATAGACCATTAGCAAGATTAACCAAAAAAAGAAGAGAGAAAATCCAAATAACCTCACTAAGAAACAAAACAGGAGATATTACAACTGACACCACTGAAATATGAAAGATTGTTCACAACTACTATGAACAACACCTTTACGCACATAAACTGCCAAACCTAGAAGAGACAGATAAATTCCTGGAAAAATACAACCTTCCTAGCTTAAATCAGGAAGAATCAGATAACCTGAACAGACCAATAACAAGCAGTGAGATTGAAATGGTAATTTTAAAATTACCAACAAAAAAAAGTCCAGGACCAGATGGATTCACAGCAGAATTCTACCAGACATTCAAAGAAGAATTAGTACCAATCCTTTTGACACTATTGCACAAGATAAAGAAGGAACCCTCCCTAATTCATTTTATGAAGCCAGCATCACCCTAATACCAAAATCAGAAGGGACACAACCAAAAAAGAAAAACTACAGACTGTTATCCTTGATGAATATTGATGCTAAAATCCTTAACAAAATACTAGCTAACGGAATCCAACAACATATCAAAAAGATAATCCACCATGATAAAGTGGGTCTCATGCCAGGGATGCAGGGATGGTTTAACATACACAAGTCAATAAATGTGATACACCACATAAACAGAATTAAAAACAAAAATCACATGATCATCTCAACAGATGCAGAAAAAACATTCAACAAAATCCAGCATTCCTTTATAATTAAAATTCTCAGCAACATTGGCATACAAGGGCCATAACTTAATGTAATAAAAGCCATCTATGAGAAAGCCACAGCCAACATAACACTGAATGGGGAAGAGCTGAAAGCATTCCCTCTGAGAACTGGAACAGACAAGAATGCCCACTCTCACCACTCCTCTTCAACATAGTACTGGAAGTCCTAGCTAGAGCAATGAGACAAGAGAAAGAATTTAAAGGCATCCAAATCAGTAAAAAGGAAGTCAAACTGTCACTGTTTGCTGATGATATGATCGTTTACCTTAAAAACCCTAAGGGCTCCTCCAGAAAGTTCCTAGAACTGATAAAAGAATTCAGCAAAGTTTCCAGCTACAAGATTAATGCACACAAATCAGTAGCTCTTCTATACACCAACAGTGACCAAGTGGAGAATCAAATCAAGAACTCAAACCCTTTTAGAATAGCTGCAAAAAAAATAAAATACTTAAGAGTATACCTAACCAAGGAGTCGAAAGATCTCTACAAGGAAAACTACAAAACATTGCTGAAAGAAATCAGGCAACGCAAACAAATGGAAACACATCCCATGCTCATGGATGGGTAATTAATATTATGAAAATGACCATACTGCCAAAAGCAATCTAAAAATTCAACACAATCCCCATCAGAATACCACCATCATTCTTCACAGAATTAGAAAAAACAATTCTTAAATTCATATGGAACCAAAAAAGAGCCCACATAGCCAAAGCAAGACTAGGCAAAAAGAACAAATCTGGAGGCATCACACTACCTGATTTCAAACTATACTATAAAGCCATAGTCACCAAAACAGAGCGGTACTGGTGTGAAAATACGCACATAGACCAATGGAGCAGGATAGAGAACCCAGAAATAAACCCAAATACTTTCAGCCAACTGATCTTCGACAAAGCAAACAAAAACATAAAGTGGGGAAAGGACACCCTTTTCAACAAATGATGCTGGGATAATTGGCTAGCCACATGTAGAAGAATGAAACTGGATCCTCATCTCTCACCTTATACAAAAATCAACTCAAGATGGATTAAGGACTTAAACCTAAGACCTGAAACCATAAAAATTCTAGAAGATAACATTGAAAAAAACCCTTCTAGACATTGGCTTAGGCAAGGATTTCACGACCAAAAGCCCAAAAGCAAATGCAATAAAAACAACGATAAATAGCTGGGACCTAATTAAACTAAAGAGCTTTTGCATGGGGAAACAAAAAACAAAAAAAAAAAAAACAGCAAAGTAAGCAGACAACCCACAGAGTGGGAGAAAATCTTTACAATCTATACATGTGACAAAGGACTAATATCTGGAATCTACAACAAACTCAAACAAATCAGTAAGAAAAAAAACAAACAATCCCATCAAAAAGTGGGCTAAGGACATGAATAGACAATTCTTAAAAGAAGATATACAAATAGTCAATGACATAGAAAATGACAAATGGCAAATGACATATGAAAAAATGCTCAATATCACTAATGATCAGGGAAATGCAAATTAAAACCACAATGCAATACCACCTTACTCCTCCAAGAATGGCCATAATCAAAAAATCAAAAAACAGTAGATGTTGGCGTGGATGCGGTCAACAAGGAACACTTCTACACTGCTTGTGGGAATGTAAACTAGTACAGCCACTATGGAAAAGTGTGGAGATTCCTTAAAGAACTAAAAGTAGAACTACCATTTGATCCCGCAATCCCACTACTGCGTATCTACTCAGAGGAAAAGAAGTCATTATTCAAAAAGGATACTTGCACACACATATGTATAGCAGCACAATTCACAATAGCAAAATTGTGGAACCAACCCAAATGCCCATCAATCAACGAGTGGATAAAGAAACTGTGTATATATATATGATGGAATACTATGCACATAAAAAGGAATGAATTATCAGCATTTGCAGTGACCTGGATGAGACTGGAGACTATTATCCTAAGTGAAGTAACTCAGGAATGGAAAATCAAACATTGTATGTTCTCACTGATACGTGGGAGCTAAACTGAGGATGCAAAGGCATAAGAATAATACAATGGACTTTGGGGACTTGCAAGCAAGAGTGGGAGGGGGATGAGGGATAAAAGACTACAAATAAGGTGCAATGTATACTGCTTGGGTGATGGGTGCACCTAAATCTCACAAATTACCACTAAAGAATTTACTCCTGTAACCAAATACCACCTGTACCCCAATAACTTACAGAAAGAAAGAAAGAAGAAATATAAAAGAAAAACATGACAGTGAAGTATTTACAGAAGAATGACAATCATAAGAGCTATGTAGAAATGGACTATATAAACTACAAGTGAAAGAAATAAACAGGATGGCCTATACACAGTGAGAAGAATTTTATAAAATATATATCCATAGAAAATATAGGATCAGAAAAAGTTATAATCTGAAAATAGTATTTCTGAAGGTAGGATTTTGTTTAAATTATTACATGTTGCTAACAAGATTAATGTTTTCACCTTGCACTATTCATGATACTAAATAATAAACTGATTTTTGTGCTTAATATTCATGTTAATAAATTCCACAAGTTTCCCCTACCAACAAAATATTTACATTGTATTAGTATCAAGTTACAAATTATAAAAAGGAGGATGTCATTTCTAGATAGAGTAATGACCAAATGATGCACAGTATTTTTTCTTTCTTAAAAAAAGAATGCATTTGTTTTTAATTGTGGTAAAAAACCTACACATAAAATTTACCATCTTAGGCCGGGCGTGGTGGCTCATGCCTGTAATCCTAGCACTTTGGGAGGCAGAGGTGGGCGGATCACCTGAGGTCAAGAGTCCAAGACCAGCCTGGCCAACATGGTGAAACCCCATCTCTACTAAAAATACAAAAAATAGCCGGGTATGGTGGTGCACGCCTGGTAGTGGTCCCAGCTACTTGGGAAGCTGAGGCAGGAGAATCACTTGAACCCAAGAGGCGGAGGTTGCAGTGAGCCAAGATCGCGCCATTACGCTCCAGCCTGGGTGACAGATCATCAAAAAAAAAAAAAAATTTACCATTTTAGCCATCTTTAAGTGTTCAATACAGTAGTGTTAACTATATGCACATTTTTGTGCAACAGATTTCTAGAACTTTTCATTTTGCAAAACTGAAACTCTATACCCACTGAACAACTCCACCCCTTCCCAACTCTCCAGGCTGACAACCACCATTCTGTTTTTTAAGAGTTTGACTATTTTAGATACCTCATATAAGTGGAATCATACAGTATTTGTCTTTTTGTGACTGGCTTATTTCACTTAGCGTAATGTCCTCAAGGTTTATTCAAGCTGTAGTACATAACAAGATTTCCTTCTTTTTAAAGGCTAAATAATATTTCGTTATAGGCATATGTCACATTTTCTTCAACAATATTTTCCTAAATACATTCTCTTTGACAATTTAAACAATGAATCAGTTGAGCTAATCACATACCTATAACTGTAGAAAACACAAAAACACAAGAATGACTTTGTAACTGACATTTTCTGGGCTATGAGATAATATATCACTGTATCAAAAAGCAGAAATTCTTACCAAGAAAATAATATAAAATGCAGAAATTTCTAACCAGGAACAGTGATTCCACACAACTGTGTTTAACTAATAAGAGCAGAGATCTCCTAAAACGCAAGAACTTGTATTGCTGTGGGGAAAAAAAAAAGAATCAAATGACACATTCAAATCAAATGATACACTCAACATCACCTTAAAGCAAGCACTTTACTGTAACAGTCTACATAGAAAACATAATTATTGTATAAGAAGACAAAGAGTATTGCAGAAGCAAAAACATCAACTATTTCAGATGTTAAAAAATTAATATTTATATTATTCAACATCTCACTGATATAAAATCAGAAATAAGAAAATTAACCATATCAATCCATACTTGGTACTAAGCACTATGCAGATGAAGAAAGTACAAGAAACACAGTAACAATAGCAGCTAACATTTTTTTGTTGCTTACCATGTACCAGGTACTGTCTGTCCTAAGCACTTTACATATTTGAATTCATTTAAACCTCATAAGAACCCTGTAAGGGAGTTTTTACTACTACCCTCATCTTAGAGATGAAGAAAACAAGGCACAGAGAGATTAAATAACAACCAATGTTATCAACCAGCAAAAGGAAAATCTGAGCTATCAATCCAGGCAGGCTGGCTTCAGAGCCTCCAATCTTAAAGATAATGCATACTGCCTTTGCACTGAATTTTTAAAAATGCTCTTTGCAAAAAAATGGGAGGCAGTGAAGAAGACACTAGCCTAGGAATCAAGAATTGTGAGTTCTAGTGCTCCCTCTTTCTGTACAACCCTCAGTAAGTCATGCCTCCTCTCTAATTATGTGAAAGACAAGAAAGCTGAACCAGCTAAATAGTTCCTTAGTGGGAACCTGAAAATTCTAATGATCTAAGACAGGGGTGCCTTATCTTTTGGCTTCCCTGGGCCACACTGAAAGAAGAATTGTCTTGGGTGACACATAAAATACTAATGATAGCTGATGAGCTTAAAAAAAAAAGAAAAGAAAAGAAAAAGGGCTGGGTGCGGTGGCTCACACCTGTAATCCTAGCACTTTGGGAGGCCTGAGGCAGGTGTGTCACTTGAGGTCAGGGGTTCGTAACCAGCCTGACCAATGTGGTGAAACCCCGTCTCTACTACAAATACAAAAATTAGCCAGGTGTGGTGGCACATGCCTGTAATCGCAGCTACTCGGGAGGTTGACGCAGGAGAATCACTTGAACCCAGGAGGCAGAGGTTGCAGTAAGCCAAGACTGCACCACTGCACTCCAGCCTGGGCAACAGAGTGAGACTCTGTCTCAAAAAAAAAACAAAAAGAAAGAAAACAAAATCGCAAAAAAAAATCTCATAATGTTTAAAGAAAGTTTATGAATTTATGTTGGGCCACAGGTTGGACAAGCTTGATCTAAGAAAAAGGAATCAAATAAGAAAAAAAAATCGGGGAGTGGGGAGGGATAGCATTAGGAGATATACCTAATGTTAAATGATGAGTTAATGGGTGCAGCACACCAACATGGCACATGTATACATACGTAACAAACCTGCACATTGTGCACATGTACCCTAAAACTTAAAGTATTAAAAAAAAAATGTCTTTTCTTGAAAAAACTACACGTTTTCTGAAACAAAGGTTGTCTACCTCTCTCTCCTTCTCAGTCTCTGCCCCTAAAATACCAATGGAAAACAAGATAAATGATTAGAAGGAATCTAAGGAAAAAGAAAAAAATAAAAGATGTACTTCTCTCTCTTTTTTTTTTTTTTTTTTTTTTTTTGGAGATAAGAGTCTTGCTCTGCCTCCCAGACTCAAGTGAAGTGGTGCCATCTCAGCTCACTGCTACCTCTACCTCCCAGGTTCAAGCAATTCTTGTGCCTCAGCCTCCTGAGTAGCTAGGACTATAGGCACGCCACGCCTGGCTAATTTTTATATTTTCAGTAGAGATGGGGTTTTGCCATATTGCCCAGGCTGCTCTCAAACTCCTGAGCTCAGGCAATCTGCCCACCTTGACCTCCCAAAGTGCTAGGATTACAGGCATGAGCCACTGCACCCAGCCCTGGTCTTCTTTTATGCTTATATTACGACTGATTCTTCCTTAAGGAATTTCAGAAGCTGAAGAACAGCAAATAATTATAGTATTCAGAAACTATATCTTCATATTATGAATGGAGATGCCTACAGTATCTTACAAAAAGCAGCCCAGGCCAGGTGCAGTGGCTCATGCCTGTAATCCCAAAACTTTGGGAGGACAAGGTGGGCAGATCACTTGAGGCCAGGAGTTCAAGACCAGCCTGGCCATCATGGCAAAGCCCCGTCTCTACTAAAAATACAAAAATAATATATGTAAGATAAGGCACGGTGGCAGGCGCCTGCAATCCCAGCTCTTTGGAAGGCTGAGCTGGGAGGACTGCTTGAACCTGAGAGTTCAAGTTGCAGTGAGCCGAGACTGCGCCACTGCACTCCAGCCTAGGTGACAGAGCGAGACTGTCTCAAAAAGAAAACAAACAAACAAAAAGTAGCCCATATAAATACTTGGTCACTAATCATATTGCTTCAATTATATTGGTCTGTTCAAATATTTTCAAAGTACAAGATGTGGAATTGCACTATTCTGTGTAGCCACTGGGTGCTACCACCACCACACACCTGCCCCAATAAAAACGCCATAGTTCCTATGCTATTCCTACTATAGCTTTCACCTCAACCATTCTTCACAAAGGTTCAGAGAGGCTAGGGAAGCAGGTCGACATTTCAGCAGACAGGCAGAAAACACCATTTCCCCCACCTCTTGCTCCCATGCTGAAGTGTTTTTCAATTCTCTGTTGGATTTCTTCTGTGATGTAGCTATGAACTACCCTTCACTAAATATTTACTGTGTGCCAGGCACTATGCTAAATGCTCTATAAATGTAATACTTTCAACAGTCTTGTTGGCATAGTTGTCTTGATGTCCATTTCTTTGTGCCCTACTTCATACTAACAGTCTGCTTTTCCCTATGGGTCCATCATTAAGAATTATTTTTGTTCCTGTTCTTTTTTGGTTGGGTGATTTTGTTTTCATCTTTTTTATTATTTGTATTTTTTACACTCCTGGTAACTCACAGAACAAAGAATCTGATAAAGGCAATAGAACTGGTTTTAGTAGTGTAGGCAAGTTTAAAGAAAAAACTAATGGACTAATGGCAAATTGGTTAAAATTAGTAGATCTTTAAAAAGCCGTAATTTTTCTACAAAAATTAGTTGGGCGTGGTAGCGCACGCCTATAGTCCCAGCTACTCATGAGGCTGAGGCAGAAGAATTACTTGAACCTGGGAGGCGGAGGTTGCAGTGAGCCGGGACTGTGCCACTGCACTCCGGCCTGGGCGACAAGAGCAAAACTCCGTCTCAAAAAAAAGCCTCAAATTTTCATAATTACATGAAAAAAGTAGTTACTGAATAATATATATAAGATAAAACCACTTATATAAACCCCACTTCACAAAATATATAATGTTATAGGTACATACATGTAAATGTACACTAAACGGTCTGGAAGAATATATACTAAACTGGTAGCAGTTTAACTGGTAAACTGCTACCAGTTTAGTGTATATCCTTTAACCGGTAAACTGTTACCAGTTTAGTGTATATCCTTAATCCCATTGGTAACAATGGTTACCAGTGGGACAAAGATTGAGACTGGCCATGGGATGGTCAAGGAAACATTCAATTTATCAATATGATATTTAAATATTTTATAATAAAAATATTATCACTTTGGAAAGCTACCTGACAGGTAGCATCAAAAATAATGATGATATAAACATACTCAGACTGTCTGGCAAAAAATAAATAAATAAATAATGATGATAATGATAATGGTTGTTATTGCTTATAAAATTCTTTAAGCTCTAAAGTTCTCTGGTCAGCTTGGCTATCAATCATCACATCGCGCTCTATAGAGGGTCAGAATGGGAATGGGCCTGACTTCTCACATCAAACTTGCAGTTTCCTGACAATCCAACTTGCTTCCTTAGCAACTTAAAATGCACATGGAAAGGTGAAACACTTCTAGAGCTAATGAAAGAAAGATAAGCTACGGTGTCCTCCCTCCCTCTTAGTCTTCTCGGGAGGCAAACCTACCCTGCCAGGCAAGACACTTACAAACCTGATAGGCAGGAAACTATGGTTCTGGGCACCAAGAGCTATCATTTCCACTAGTCTTGCCAAATCTTCAGCTTCCTCATTCCACTGCCCTTCCACCACACCACCCAGCAAAACACCTGCTCCAACCATCCCCAGGCTGGAGAACAGCGCCCACCTGGGCAAACCAATACCACTATACACTCATGGCTACAAGACATGCCCCATATATATTTTTTGACCAAATACTGAATTACCAATTATCAAAAATCAATACTCTGTCAAAGCTGAAGCCAAAGCTGAATATTACCATCATAGAATAAACTTTTGGGATTAAGAATAAATCTAACATTTTACCAAAAGAAATTACAAAAAGAAAGTACTAAAATTTTACAAATTTTTACAGTACATGGTAGAAACAATAATTTATCAGCATTGTCAACTATCAGACTTCTATGTGCACTCTACTGCATATCTGTGGTGTTAAATACATGGTCACTTTCAACTGGGGACCATGGAGGTCCAGCAAGGTATTGTGGGGCATCTCATTTTTCCCTAACACTTTCTTTTATTTTTAATATTCTTAATTTTGTTAGAATCAAAGATGATTTATTATGGACATTTCTATATAAGATTTTGGAGTTTTTCTCCTTGTGAAATTTTGAGGTAGCCAAGTTGACATCCTGCTTTTAATTCATCTTCACAAGATATGAAGGATTTCTAGATAGGACTTTTTTTTCATACACTCAGATTGCAGGGAGGTGAGGGCCAGATCCTTTTCAGTGGGCACCATCTCCCTGCTGTGTGTGTATTTTCATTAGCTTGTTCTCATGGATGCAACAGGCATGTGAAAACTTTATTTCTTTTTTCTTTCTCTTCTTTTTTTAAAGAGATAGGGTCTCAGCCAGGCATAGTGGCTCATGCCTGTATTCTGAGGTGGGTATATCGTTTGAGTCCAGGAGTCAGAACAGCTTGGGCAACATAGCTAGACCCCACTCTACAAAAAATACAAAAGTAGCCAGGCTTGGTGGTGCATGCCAGTAGCCCCAGCTACTCAGGAGGACTGAGGTAGGAGGACTGTTCGAGCCAGGAGGTCAAAGCTGCAGTGAGCGATGATCGTGCTACTGCGCTCCAGCCTGAGTGACAGAGCAAGAACCTTTCTCGAAAAAAAAAAAAAAAAGAAAAAAGAAAAAGAAATTTAAAAAGAGAGAGAGAGAGACACGGTCTAGCCATGTTGCCCAGACTGGTCTCAAAGTCCTGGGCTTAAGAAATCCTCCCACCTCAGCCTCCCAAAGTGCTTGGATTATAGGCACAAGCCAATGTGCCCAGCCAAAAACTTTAGTTAATCCAACACATTCTTATATGTTATACTCTTATAATAATATACCATTTGTTTACATATCCCTCCCTCCCCACCAGACTGAGTCCTAGTGGGAGGGAGGCTAGTTCTAACATTTTTGCTCCAATGCCCAGTCTTCAGCCTGCCAGGGCATGAATGAAGCAAGTAATAGAATTGTGCGAATGAGGAGCAGCAGAAACAGGCTGCGAAGAGCCCTGATGCATCTGTGAGACATCTCAGCCACCTTTCCCTCTCCTGCCAGAGGAGTGCTTCTCAGTTCCAGGAATGACTCCTACCAGATTACATTTTTAAGACTTAACTGAAAGGTAGTTTATACTCTACCACTCAAACCAGCTGAAACTGTTTTATTTATACAAACTTTGCCTTGTTCTGAAAATGATAGGAGACAGTAAGTGATATGTTCTAAAATTACTTGCACATCCCCAAACTCACAAGGTTCTAAGTTCAAAAAGAAGCCAGCAGGCCATCCACGATGGCTCACACCTGTAATCCCAGCACTTTGGGAGATCAACACAGGCAGATAGCTTGAGCCCAGGAGCTGGAGACCAGCCTGGGCAACATGGAGAAACCCCATCTCTACAAAAAATACAAAAATTAGCCAGGCACAGTGGTGCACACCTGTAGTCCCAGATACTCGGGCAGACTGAGGTGGGAGGATGGCTTGAGCCAGCAGGTGATGCTGCAGTGAACCGTGACCACGCCACTGCACTCCAGCCTGGGTGACAGAGTGAGACTCTGTCTCAAAAAAGAAAAAAAGAGCAGCGGCTGGGCGTGGTGGCTCATGCCTGTAATTCCAGCACTTTGGGAGGCTGAGGTGGGGGGATTACTTGAGGTCAGGAGTTCAAGACCACCCTGGCCAATATGGTGAAACCCCGTCACTACTAAAAACACAAAAATGAACTGGGCGTGATGGCATGTGGAGGCTGAGGCAGGAGAATTGCTTGAACCCAGGAGGCGGAGGTTGCAGTGAGCCGAGATTGCGCCATTGCACTCCAGCCTGGGCAAAGAAGCGAGACTGTCTCCAAAAAAAAAGAAGCTACACAGAGTACTTTGCATGAATGTCATCATCATCTTCCCCAAACCCTGCTGGGTCACAGCAAGTGCCACTACCTAGCAGGGAGGGAAACAGTGTAGCAAAGAGGTATTCTGAGATTGGCAACAGGAAAAGGTAGCTGCAACTCTCAAAAATATGCTTAAGTCTCATGAAGACAAATCTCTTCTCGCTAAATGGCATTTTGAGGATTTCAGTTCTAAGTGTTGGTTATCAAATCTTGAATGAATCAGATAAATCCAGTTATATACATATGCACCAAGGCAATTTTACCTCAGCCAAATTTTGACATCAAGTAATGCTCAAATGATCTTACCTGTATGATGGGAAATGGAAGATAGTTCATGTTGTTAACAAAATACAGGAGGCTATAGCTATAGCCCATAAATGCTCCAGTCAGTAGGAAAAAAAGATGATATTCATTTAAGCAGGTTTGCGCAGCAGGGCTACCAAAGCTGAAGGGAAAAAATTAAGTTATTAATTCAACAGTCAGGGACATGTATCACTGTTTTAGGCTCAATGTTTACTGAAGGCAAAGCTTAATTACTTTAATGACTTAAGAAATGTCCCAAATTCTAACAAGATGGCTCGTTTTCAGTAAGTGTGAACAAGATTAACAAAACCTTTTTTCCTGAATCATGAGACTCTGATCTTTAATTAATTCTACCTCTGTTCCCCTGGAAATCTGACATGATTAAGTATATCTACCATAATAACAAGCAGTATTGCTTACAAGTGTCTGGGCTGACAGCAACTGTAAATAAGTTATATATACCTGATAGAGATGCCATAACATTGGGTTTGTGTTATCTCTTTAAAACTGAGTATTCCCTCACGGGGATCCTGTGCCCATAAAATTGCTACAAGAGATGCTACTGGATTTTGTGGGGCACAAGGCCTTTAAAGCAGATAGAGTCCCATACATGTCCGATACCGATTTTTTTTCCTCCTTGTAGCTGAGTGGTATCCACAGACAAGACTGCAGCTCCCAGGTGGCTATGGGACTTATCATCTGTTTGAACTGCCTGAAGGACTCCTGCTGAAGAGGAACTCCTGATGCTTCCCAAATCTAAGAGGATCCCCCTGCTGGACACTGCTTTAAGCCACTACCCTATCATTTTACAATAGCTTTAATTATAAGCATAAGATCTATTTGGTAAACAACAAGCTCTCAAACTCCTTTGAGAGTTTCTTGAGAATCTCTATGATCTATGAGATATCTGGGGGTATACAGAGCCAACATCAAAATTCAGTAGAACTCAATTTTTAATAGAGGCACACAGGTTGTAGGCCTGCCCCACCATCTAACTCCATGAGAGGTAAGACTCAAGGTTAACTGTTATCTGAACTCCGAGTTACAAAATGATGAAGATTAGTTTTGTTAAAGATTCTGACTGTGAAATCATCAGGAAATATATTTGTAATAGGCATTATAATGTCTTCAACAACTTGTAGCTTACTGCTGCCTTCTGCTCCCTGGAACTTCACTGCCACCTCCATTAGGAAGAGAAGTGCAAAAAGGAATTCAAGACTCATCCATGGTGAGCACTTGGGATTTCCTTTTTCATAGTAGTCCTGTACTCACAGTCTTTTATCATTTAATGTTTACCAACAGGACAGTTTTTACCAAAGAAAGCCTATGATATTAAGGGGGAAAAAACAACCTGCCTTATATAATAGTAGCTGGAGGCAAAAAGAAAATCAAGTATTCAGTAGTAATAATGTAACACTGTTTTAAAGTCAGTGGAAAATAGAGAACTTAAGATCACTCCAATCATCTTTGTTTAAAAAAAAAAAAAAAAAAAACAAGGTCTCACTATGCTGCCCAGGCTGGAGTGCAGGAGCTATTCACAGGCATAATCATAGGGCACTGCAGCCTCTAATTCCTGAGCTCAAGGGATCCTCCTGCCTCAGCCTGCCAAGCAGTGGGACTACAGGCACATGCCACCACTCCTGGCTTCCAGTAATCTTTTTTAATTTTTAAAGTCAGAATATCAATTTGCAATTAGTATCAATGCCATGTGTTCAAGAACTATACAAGTTTCAAAATTATAAAAGCACTCTATAAAAAGGCAGTTATAATTTTTAAAAATTTTTCTTCATTCTTTCCATACTACCCTTCCTTCAAACTCCAACCAAATGCTACCTCTTCCAAGAACATGTGTGGATCCCTCTTGTTTTCTGAACCTCCACAGGTTTTGTCTGCACATCTCACTTTCTTCATCCTATTACATCCCTCTGCATCCATGTCTTAATTTCTCTATTGTTCTCAACTCTCAAAGAGCTTATAGTCTATGTTTGAGTCACTCTCATAAATCGCATAGCACCTTGCACATAATAAATTTTTTTAATTGCTGAAATCAATAAACACAAAATATTAAAAACACTTGATATATGCAAAAAGCACCTTTTGCAGAAGTCTGGAAAGCAAAGAATACTCATAGGATTAACCTATATAGGTCACCTTTGGCTTAGTAAGTAAATGAGATTCCTAAGGAAATATATATTTAATATTACCTGTTAGTACCAGTGCAGGGAACCACAAGAAAGCTGTACTGGCCCTGGGTTATCACTGCAGCACACCAGGCCATCACCATTCCCATTGCAGCATGAATAAATGAGTGCATGAGTTGCTGAGGATGAATGATCTTCCCTATCAGAGCTAGTCTGGAGCAAGGAATAGAAGGCACAACTGCAAAGGAAACACATTACTGTGGCTTTATAACCTACAGCATATGCAGTTAGAGGATCTAAACTATCCCCTCTCATCCTTGCACAAATGTTCCAAAGGCAGAGAGAAATCCACAGTCAACGCAAATACAATACAGAAAAATTTAAAGTTAAAAATTCTAAGTTAAAAAAATTTGAGGAAAGCATGAATAAACAGACACAAAAAAACCCAAAGAATCTAGAGATGAAACCTAAGGACAGCATGATCAACATTTTTCATTAAAATTTCCTAATAGTTCCAATAGTGCCTATCCTAGTATTCTCCTAAGCACCATAAAAGAATAATGATTTTTTTTTTCATATATGGACTACTGTAATGGTCTTGCAGTGTGGGAGAGTGACTGGGTTCAGCTCCTGAATACTGACTTTTTATTTATTTATTTATTTATTTTATTTTATTTTATTTTATTTATTTTTGAGACGGAGTTTCGCTCTTGTTGCCCAGGCTGGAGTGCAGTGGCGCAATCTTGGCTCACTGCAACCTCTGCCTCCTGGATTCAAGCGATTCTCCTGCCTCAGCCTCCCAAGTAGCTGGGATTACCGGTGCCTGCCACCATGCCTGGCTAGTTTTTGTATTTTTAGTAGAGATGGGGTTTCACCATGTTGGTCAGGCTGGTCTCAAACTCCTGACCTCAGGTGATCCACCCACCTTGGCCTCCCAAAGTGTTGGGATTACAGGCACGAGCCACCATGCCTGGCCTACTTTTTAAAAAGAACTCCTGCCATCAGCATTTGAAACTGTCAATATATAATCCACTTACGAAAAATAAACCATAAAGTAGGTAAATACTGACAACATAAATGCTAAGATAAATGCTTATATAGGGATTTTTAATACCCTTCAGACAATCCAAAAACATTTTCTGCAAATGAGCTAGGGAGGCAACTATGGGTAGGACATGAGGGATGTTTACCTTTGGAAACAGCTAGCCTAGGGTTCCCTGATCTATCTATGTAGGTATTTTGCTCTTACTATACTCAAAGTAAAGAGATGGCAGGAGGTAGAAAATTAAGTATGAAGGGACAAGTTTCAGGTGCTTTATACTTTGAGGAAGAGGTTCCTATGACCTCTCCCTCCCAACCAGAAATGCCCACAAGGTCCTACTGACTGTGCAACTAACTTATAACACTCTAAATATACCAAACCCTCTCATGTCACTAAGCCTTTTTATATGCTATACCTTCTCTCTAGAACATCATTTTCCTTCTTTGTCTACTTAATTCAACTCATCCTGCAAGGCTTGGTTTAAGGATCATCTCCTCAAGTTCCCCCATGCTGGGGCAAGTGGTGCTCCTATACAAGCTCTTACCATCCAATGTACTGTAATCAAATATGCTTCATGTTTACTGTCTCTCCATTAATCACGATCTCTGGAGAAAGATGGGACCTATCATTTCTCTTTTCTCTCCACACAATGCATGGCATATAGTAAATGCATAAGGGATGGTTACTGAAGGAATGAGCCAAAGTGAATAGTCAGGCTTTAAGAAGGACTGGCTGGGGACCCCTCAACTGACATATTACATACAGAAGATGACCCAAGCATATGGGAGAGTATGAAAGAACACTCTGTTTAAGTGTGGCTGTAAGCCAAGGAGTTTCGAATAGGGCTTGCATGGAAAAAGCTTACTAGTCAATAGTGAGGAATTAAGAAAGCAGGCTGAGTGCAGTGGCTCATGCCTGTAATCCCAGCACTTTGGGAGGCCAAGGTGGGCAGATCATGAGTTCAGGAGTTTGAGACCAGCCTGGCCAATATGGTGAAACCCCACCTCTACTAAAAATACAAAAAATAGACGGGCGAGGTGGCAGGCAACTGTAATCCCAGCTACTCAGGAGGTTGAGGCAGGAGAATCACTTGAACCCGGGAGGCAGAGGCGTCAGCGAGCCAAGACCATACCACTGCACTCCAGCCTGGGCAACAGAGTGAGACTCCATCTCAAAAAAAAAGAAAGAAAGCGAGGCTGGGCCCAGTGGCTCACACCTGTAATCACAGCACTTTGGGAGGTCAAGGCAAGCGGATCACTTGAGGTCGGGAGTTCGAGACCAGCCTGACCAACATGGTGAAACCCCGTCTCTACTAAAAATACAAAAATTAGCCAGGCATGGTGGCATACGCCTGTAATCCCAGCTACTCAGGCGGCTGAGGCAGGAGAATTGCTTGCACCTGGGAGGTGGAGGTTGCAGTGAGCCGAGATCGTGCCACTGCACTCCAGCCTGGGCGACAAAGCTGGACTCCATCTTGGAGACCAAAAACAGAAAGCAAGCAAGGGAAAAGGATACGTATTGTAACATCCAAAGTCAGAATTTGAAATTTTACGCCAGATTTTACAAGGAAGTGTTGAAGAACTAAAAAGGCAAATGATGTAGGCTGGGCGCGGTGGCTCATGCTTGTAATCCCAACACTTTGGAAGGCCGAGGCAGGCCGATCACCTGAGGTCAGGAGTTTGAGACCTGCCTGACCAACATGGAGAAATCCCATCTCTACTAAAAATAGAAAAAATTAGCCAGGTGTGGTGGTGCCTGCCTGTAATCCCAGCTACTCAGGAGGCTGAGGTAGGAGAATCGCTTGAAACCGGGAGGCAGAGGTTGCGGTGAGCCGAGATCACGCCATTGCACTCCAGCCTGGGCAACAAGAGTGAAACTCCGTCTCAAAAAAAAAAAATTCCTCCCGGTCTGAGTATTCTATGATCCTACCGCATCTGTTTCTCTCAAAAAAAATAATAAATAGGCCAAGCATGGTGGCTCATGCCTGTAATTCCAGCACTTTGGAAGGCCAAGGCAGGCCGATCACGAGGTGAGGAGATTGAGACCATCCTGGCTAACATGGTGAAACCCCGTCTCTACTAAAAATACAAAAACAAAATTAGCCAGGCATGGTGGCGGGTGCCTGTAGTCCCAGCTACTTGGGAGGCTGAGGCGGGAGAACGGCGTGAACCTAGGAGGCAGAGCTTGCAGTGAGCCGAAATCGCGCCACTGCACTCCAGCCTGGGCGACAGAGCAAGACTCCGTCTCAAAAATGATAATAATAATAAAATAAATAAATAAACAGAATATTCATATAATCAATGAAATGTAAAATCTAAAACATGACATTATGATAAACTAATTTAAGGTTTAGACATGTTAGCACATATGGAACATGTACATTTAAAAAATTTTTTTTAAGTTTAAAAAAAGGAAAATGGGCTGGGTGCAGTGGCTCACGCCTGTAATCCCAGCACTTGGGAGGCCGAGGGCAGATCACAAGGTCAAGAGATCAAGACCATCCTGGCCAACATGGTGAAACCCCCTCTCTTCTAAAAATACAAAAATTAGCCGGGCGTGGTGGCGCGTGCCTGTAATCCCAGCTACTCCGGAGGCTGAGGCAGGAGAATCACTTGAACCCAGGAGGCAGAGATTGCAGTAAGCTGAGATCGCACCACTGCACTCTAGCCTGGCGACAGAGCGAGACTCTGTCTCAAAAAAAAAAAAGGAAAATGATGTTATAGTAAAAAAATAAGAGTCAGGAAAAGCTTCTTATTGTATCTTTTTTTCCTTATGTGAATCTGCCACAACTTGTATCTTAAAGGCAGTCTCAAGGAATCTGAAAAGGCAGAAAGAATATGAAGAGAAACAGAAAAATTAAAAGCTCTGGAATCCAGCAGGTGATTCTCCAAGGCAAAACATAAGTTTTTTTTTAATCACAGTATTATAGATTATTATATTTGAAAAAAAAACTTAGAAATCACCTGGTCTTCCCTATAAAGGAATTCTTTTCATAATGTATCTGCTAAATCACAGCTTTAATACTAGTTATGAACTATTAAAAGGTCTAAATTTTTTTATTGTGGTAAAATAATAAAATTCACTATTCGAACCATTTTTAAGTACACAGTTCTGCGGCATAAGTACACTCATATTGTTGTATAACCACTACCACCATCCAGCTCCCAAACTTTTCCATCTTCCACAACTCTACCCATTAAACAGCAATTCTCCACTCCCCCTCCCCCAGCGCCTGGTAACCAGCATTCTACTTTCTTTCTCTATGAATTTGAGTACTCCAGATACCTCGTATAAGTAGAATCATATAATATTTGTCCTAAAAAGTCTAAAAATATTTTTAAAACAGAAACTAGCACCCAAATAAATTTTAAGGTACAACATTTGAAGCATATGATTCTGTATACGTTTTTAAATTTTTGACACAAAACACATTCACATATAAAATGTACTAAGTCTTCCCTTAGTTAAATAAATTCGCATATTTCTAAGAAGGTTAACATTTGAAAACTCACCTGCATAGAACTCCACATTGAAAATACTTATTATTATTATTACCACTGACAGCAGCAGGAAGTAAAAGATTACATAGGAACTATACAGGTCACTGAAAGAATCTAAAACACAAGAGAGATGAATTAGTAAAGGTTATTCAGTCATGTAGTCACGTTCAGGACACTGCAATATAAAAAGAGCTTGAACCACAATTGTCATTAATTTTAAAGGTTATCTTTTCTTCAAGAATTTAATTGTACACCACTGACAGGTTCAATGAGATATCAACTCAAGAACTACAGTGTGGGCTGGGCATGGGGGGATCACTAAGCCAGGGAGCTCAAGACCATCCTGGGCACATGACAAAACCCTATCTCTACAAAAATACAAAGATAGCCAGGTGTGGTGGTGCACACCTGCAGTCTCCAGCTACTCAGGAGGCTGAAGTGGGAAGATCACTTGAGCCTGGGAGTTTGAGGCTGCAGTGAGCAGTGATCATGCCACTGCACTCCAGCCTAGGCAACAGAGAAAGACCTTGTTTCAAAAACAAAGGGGGGGAGAAAAAAGGAGTTACAGTGTGAGTTATTCGTACCTGGCCCCAGGTACTTTAAAATTATACTACAATTTCTTAAATGACCCAGTTAACATCAGACAAAACACTAGAACATGGCAAAACTTTCTTTCTTTCTTTTCTCTGTCTTTCTTTCTTTCAAGACAGAGTATTGCTCTGTTGCCCAGGCTGGAGTGTAGTGGCTCAATCTTGGCTCACTGCAATCCGCCTCCTGGGTTCAAGCAATTCTCCTGCCTCAGCCTTCCAGTAGCTGGGATTACAGATGCCCGCCATGGCTATTTTTTGGGTTCTCACTATGTTGTCAAGGCTGGTCTCAAACTCCTGACCTCAAGTAATTCACCCACCTCGGCCTCCCAAAATGCTGGGATTACAGGTATGAGCCATCACACCCAGCCACGCATATGCAAATATTTAATCATGTGAAAGAGAAGTATCATCTTTAGTAATATACCAACAAAGTTTTTTCTTAAAATATAAAGAATACTTTTCAGATCTCTTCTTCATAAATGCAATTACCTCATATAGCTAAAGTAACATTTTTGGAAATAGAATAAGCCATACATTACATCATCTAAACGAGCGGAACTCAAAAACAAAAAAATCAGGATGCCCCCATGAAATACTAATACATTCACATTTTAGAGTAGTTCAACAATCGATATTCCATCTCAAAGTTTAAAATATATATATATAATGCCTAAAAATATGAATGAAATAAAAATAAGAGCATGTTTGCTAAGACTTAAAAATTAACCACTTATTTTTAAAAGTACAATTCATTGACCTAAATTTTTTTTTTTTTTGAGATGGAGTCTCACTCTGTCACCCAGGCTGGAGTGAAGTGGCGTGATCTCAGCTCACTGCAGCCTCCACCCCCCACTCCCCCTTTAAGCAATTCTCCTGCCTCAGCCTCCCGAGTAGCTGGGACTACAGGTGCATGCCACCACACCCAGGCTGGTCATAAACTCCTGAGCTCAGGCAATCCGCCCGCCTCAGCCTCCCAAAGTGCTGGGATTACAGGGGTGAGCCACCACACTCGGCCCATTGACCTAAATTAATGAGGAATATTTACTAAGCATCTACAATTAAACCCAAGCTTCTGATGAGGAAAATGGCATAAATCAAATCCAACCTGCAGAGAAAGTGTGATGAGGATTAAAAAACCTCTGGCCATGAAATGGCAAAAAGTTTTTGTCCCCAGTGCCAATTGTGAACAATTGGTAATGGCTCTCAAATACAAGATTGAGTACTCTAAGGTTGCCACCAGAGAGCCATGATCAGTGAGTGAAGCAGACACAGGTAAGGTGGCTATAGAAATATTTGCTATGCCTGTGCTGGCTTATGGCTTAATTTCACCTGACCAGTGGGACCTATCGAAAAAGTGATGGACGTACGTCAACAAGAAACTTAACACCAATATCTCCAAAGGTCATGGGTAAAGAGTCCAACTCCTTGAAAACTGGCATTTTCTTGTGAAAAACGAAATTAAAAACTCAACTTCCCACTTTACAAGGCAAAAGAAAGACCAATTTTCAATCCTAAATCAGTTACTCACTAGCTGGGTGTCTCTGCATGGATTATTTAACCTGAATCTCAGTTATCCCATTTATAAAGTAGAAAGTACCTCTTAACTACACAGAGTTACAGGAAGGATAAGAAGTAATATATGTAAGGAGCTGGCACACGGTAAACAGGCAATAATGGGTAGTTATTAACAGAAAACAAGTTAATTTTAATACATTTAGTAATTTTACTTAGTCTCTAAGGAATTTAAGGAACATTTTAGGCCAGGTGCGGTGGCTCACACCTGTAATCCCAGCACTTCGGGAGGCTGAGGCAGGTGGATTGCTTGAAGTCAGGAGCTCAAGACCAGCCTGGGTAACGTGGCAAAACCCCGTATCTACTAAAAATACAAAAATCAGCCGGGCGTGGTGGCGCGTGCTGAGGCACAAGAATTGCTTGAAGATGGGAAGCAGAGGTTGCAGTGAGCCAAGACTGAGCCACTGCACTCAGCCTGGGTGACAGAGCAAGACTCTGTTTCAAAAAAAGAAATCAAGTGCTCTTAATTTTAGACGTATTTTTAAAAGAGGTACATGTCATATTTTCTACCCACAATTTCGAATCGATGACAGGAACCATTCTGTATTTTAAAGAGACAAACAATCTCAATAAAGCTGCCCAAAGGAAAAACAAATGAAACTAAGTTTTCATTTATGGGGTCTTCTAATGATCTTTTCGTTCCTATGATCACAGTCTTTGACAAGCTTATTAATCTTATTACATAATAAAAAGGTGATTTATGTTACGAAGGAGACATCTTAAAATTATCTCAAAGTGAATGTTTTGATGTGTCAATATAACATAGGCAGTAATTGAAAATAAACTGCTTGAAACATAATGCAATTTTTATGTTGAGAAGTAGGTCCTATAACTTTCTCCCCAAGTTGAGTATCACCTACCAGACAGCCACTGTATAGGATGAAACAAATCAATCCTGCTGAAAATTATAAATACTGTGGTGCAGATGGGTAGAAATAGCACTGACCAAACAATACTTGCAACTATCCTCCAGCCCAAAACCTATAAACAAAAAGAAAAACCCTCACTCATGAAGTCAGTTAAATTATTTCAGTTATGCAAATCCTATCTTTTCATACAGGATGTTAACCACTAACTCAGATCATAATCCGTAACTCAAACATTCACTACTAGTAATAACATTACGTACCACTAAAGAATTTATAGTATCAGTGAGCTGATGCCTGCATTAGTACAAAGTTAGGTGCAACATCAAATATCATACTTTGTATGAGGGGTGGTGGGCATTGATTTACAGCTGTTTTAGAGCAACTAATACTTGTCTCTCTAGGCTTAATTGATAGCTATATTAATATATAAAGGCTGTACACATTTTATGGGAACCACCTGTATACTGTAACTGTATTTATAATCATCAGATATGAACCTTTACTGGGCAACTACGGCACTGTAGCATTCTATTCATGTTTGAATTGCCCGTATCTATCATATAGGAGGAAAATATTTACTGCTGAATAATACAAGAAGATATAGAGGGGTTTTAAGCATGAAAGTGACAATCAAATTCATGTTGCTCAAGGTAAAACATGTCTGTTTACTGAAAGCTGGCTTTAAGGAAGATGGAGGAGTTGGGACACGAACCAAACCAGAGACAATGCAGTTAGGAGGCAGTCCACCAAAAAGCTGAGGCCGGGCGTGGTGGCTCACATCTGTATCCCAGCACTTTGGGAGGCCAGGGTGGGCGGATCACTTGAGGCCAGGAGTTTGAGACCAGCCTGGCCAACATGGTAAAACCCTGTCTCTATAAAAAATTTTTTAAAAATTAGCCAGGCATCATTCCAGCCCGGGCAACAGAGCAAGACTCTGTCTAACAAAAAAAAAAAAAAAAAAGAATAAAGTTGAACTCCTATCCCACATTCTTTTTGATGTTGTGATTTTGAGACAGCTCGCTCTGTCCCCCAGGCTAGATGCAACAGTGCCATCTCAGCTCACTGCAACCTCCTCCTCCCGGGTTCAAGTGATTCTCCTGCCTCAGCCACCTGAGTAGCTGGGGTTACAGGTGCCCGCCACCACACCTGACTAATTTTTTTTTCAGTAGAGATGGGGTCTCGAACTCCTGACCCCAAGTGATCCTCCCACCTCAGCCTCCCAAAGTGTTAAGATTACAGGCGTGAGCCACAGCGCCCAGCCTCCTATCCCACATTCTATACAAAAATTAACTCAAAATGGATTAAAGACCTACATGTAAGAGCTAAAACTATAAAACTCTTGGAAGAAAACATAGGAGTAAACCTTCATGATCTTGGATTTGGCAATGGTTTCTTAGATATGACACCAAAAGCATAAGCAACAAAAGAAAAATATAGATAAATTGGACATCAGCAATATTTAAAACTTTTTTGCTTCAGAAGACACTGTCAGCCAAGTGCGGTGGCTCACAAGTGCCAAAGGTGGCAACAACCCAAATACCCACATACTGATGAATGGATAAACAAAATATGTGGTATGTCCATACAGTGGATTATTCAGCCACAAAAAGGAATGAAGTACTCATGCATGCTAAACATACACCAGGCACGATGGCATGCACCTGATGTCCCAAATAGTTAGGCGGCTGAGGCAGGAGGACTAGTTGAGCCCAGGAGCTCAAGACCAGGCTGGAGAAGATATCGTATCTCTATTATAAAAATAATTTTTAAAAAAATTTTAGAGGCCAGGCACGGTGGCTCACGCCTGTAATCTCAGCACTTTGGGAGACCGAGGCGGATGACTCACTTGAGGTCAGGAGTTCAAGACCGGCCTGACCAACATGGTGAAACCCCATCTCTACTAAAAATACAAAAATTAGCTGGGCGTAGTGGTGCGTATCTATAATCCCCGCTCCTCGGGAAGCTGAGGCAGAACTCCTTGAACCCTGGAGGCGGGGGTTGCAGTGAGCCGACAACGCGCCATTGCACTGCAGCCTGGGCAACAGGGAGCGAGCCTCCGGCTCAAAAAAAAAAAAAGATAAGACTTACGGACCCAAAAGTTTTTAGTTTGGAATACAGGGGAGATGGCAGTGCACTGGGATAGAAGCACTTTTCCAAAAGGGATCTTTCTCCTCTTTCTCTTTGCACTCCAGAGAAGCGATGTAGTACTGTTAATTCCGTAACTTTAAGGAGGAAGTACTATTCCACTCAGCTCAGTCCCATTCTACCTTACAAAGAACACCTGCCCTGCTTACTGGACCCTAACCCCAGCCTCTACTAATGCCACATTTCTTTCCAATTCCGTGCATTCCTTCCCACTTCTTAACGAAACAAATTAAGTTATTTATTTTGCACCTACTGGATACGGTACCCTTGCGTAAAACTCCGCCTCACTCCCTATTCCAATTTCCATTCAGTCCATCCGTCCCACTCTGACCAGCTTCCTTCCACTCAGGACCCCTCTCCTACCCCGTAACCAACTTCCACTCAGGACTTCCCACAACCCTGCAATCAGTCCCCCAAGTGGTGCCTTCCCCACGCGTTCTCTCCACGCTGCCCCGGGACCGGCCCTCCCCCGCCCAGCGCGCACGCGCGATCAGAGCTTGCCCGCCCGGCCCGACCCTGGCAGTGCGTGCCACAGTGCACGCCGCACTCACGCGCCACAGTATGTCCCGCGACCTGCCGGCGCAGGGCCGGCTCACGGCCGTGGCCATGGAGATGGCGGCCCCTAGTCTAGGGCGTACAGGAGACCGTGCGCCCGCCCGCCACCGCAGTTCAAAGGCAGGAAGGCCCCAGGAGGACCCTGCTGGGTCTGCCTCAAACGCTGCCTGAGCGAAGCCCGGCCCAGGCTCCAACCCATCCCTGCGAGGCTTCGTCTGGACAAGCTCAACAGGCCAGGACTGCCGCGCAGACACGTCCCGCAAACGCGGCTGTAACTCCAGGAACCGCCCTCTGGCGACCAAACGGTCCCTTCGAAGCAGGGTCCAGCGGGGCGCCAGAAGCAGGTGGCGGCGCTGCATGCTGGGAACTGTAGTCTCGACGGCCCCCTGAGAGGAAGTAGGAGGAATGTTGCATTCTGGGACTCGGAGTTCCAAAGTACAGAATGCTGGGAGTCAAGGTCTTCCTGGAGGTGCCTTGAGGCATGCTGGGAATAGTAGTCTTTTATAAAGCCGATAACAGCCACAGTATTGATTGACTGGAATTCTTCAGTTAGAGCTAGCAAAATGATCTGCCCTCATTTCTCCCTATTACTTTATAAGTCACCTAAAAGTGAAACCAAAGGATGTGGTGGTCTTCTCCACAATAGGTACGCAGTAATTTTACTGAAATAAAAAAAAAATTCTCTAGAGATGCCTTTGGTTTCATAAAATCTGGTTTCTACTTCCAGATCTGCCACTTGCTAAATTGAATATTTTTATCTTCTCTGAGCCTCCATTTCTTCAACAGTAAGATAAGGATGAAAATAAAAATATCCTGGTGATGTTGTGAGGATGTAAATAATATGCTATACAAATGTTATCATTAATATACTGCCAGTAAGAAAAAAGGTGTTTCACCAACCCAAGTTTCACCTAATGAAGTCTTCTCAGTGCTTTAGACCTCAGTGAGATCTCTGGATGCATATCGCTAACGCCTTTTTATGCTCAATCACATGCCACAGTCAACATGCAATACTCAAGACAGAAATAGATTCAGTGATTTACTGACTAAGGAAATGCATAGGCTGGTGAGAGGAATTGAGATCACACCTACTGCTCTGCAACGTTTGCTAACAATGGCTTCCTGAATGCTTTAAGATTATATCCTATTCACTTCCAAAATCATGTTACTATCAATCATGTCTAAAGCACTGTAGGACAAACTGGGAATACAACTGATAGATCAAGTCTCTGCCGTGAAGAGATCTATCCGGTGGTGGAGAAAACTTGTAAAGAATTAGTCCAGGCCAGGCACAGTGGCTCACACCTGTAATCCCAGCACTTTGGGAGGCCAAGGCAGGAGGATCACAAGCCAGGAGTTTGAGACCAGCCTGGGCAACATAGTGAGACCTCATCTCCACAAAAACAACAACAACAACAACAACAAACTTTTTTTTAAATTAGCCGGGTGTAGTGGTGCACACCTGTAGTCCAAGCTACTCCATAGACTGAGGCAGGAGAATTGCTTGAACCTGGGAGGTTCAGGCTGAAGTGAGCAGTGATGGCGCCATCACACTCCAGACTGGGCCATAGAGTGAGACCCTGTCCAAAAAAAAAAAAAATCAGTCCAAATGCGTGTTCATAAAGACACCTCAGGTTCTAAGGTTCTTGTGGTAGAGACTACTCGTTGTCTGCCTCAATATCTATTCTCCCCTTCTTTCATAATAATTGAACTCCCAGTTTTTTAACTGGGCATATAGTTATATTTCCCAGCCTCTTTTGCAGCTAGGTATGGCCAGCTGACTGAGTTCAGGCCAATAAAATATAATCAAAGTATTGCATGGTAGCTTCCTAGAAACCCCCTTAAAAGGGAGCTACTGCATGATGGTCTTTGCCTCTTCTTAATCCCATCCTCCATTCAGCTGCCTGGATTTGGGATGTGTTGGCTGCAGCTCTAGCACCATACTGGACCACAGAAAGGGGGTCACACTGTAGGGAAAATGAAGTACTGAGCCTAAAGGAGACTTGATTATTTATGGCAACCATATCAGTTCTAGGCTACCTGCCTTTACCTCCTAATTTCATTTACACAAGAGAGACAATTATTTATTGTTTAAGCCACATCTATTTTTTTTTTTTTTTGAGACAGAGTCTCACTCCTTTGCCCAGGCTGGAGTGCAGTGGCATGATCTCAGCTCACTGCAACCTCCGCCTCTCGGGTTCAAGTGATTCTCCTGCCTCAGCCTCTTGAGTAGCTGGGATTACAGGCGCATACTACCATGCTGGCTAATTTTTGTATTTTTTAGTAGAGACGGGGTTTTGCCATGTTGGCCAGGCTGGTCTCAAACTCCTGACCTCAGGTGATCTGCCTGCCTCAGCCTCCCAAAGTGCTGGGATTACAGGCATCAGCCATCGCATCCAGCCTCTGCTTCTGTTTTTATAGCACCTATCACAGTCTTAAATCATCTTGTTTGTTTACTTCTTATTGTCTGACTTCTCACTAATATACAGACTTCACAAGAGCAGGGACTTTGTCTTGTTTATCATCGCTTCCAAAGTACCCATTACATTAGTAAGTAATAAATGAATTTTTATTTAATGAATAATGAATGAGTGGAAGAAATTAACTATATTGGACAGTGTTTCTTCAGGACAAAAACTTTTGATACCTATATCAAAGGGGGATTTAATGCAGGGAATTGATAACAAAGTTGTTGGAGAGGCTAAAAAAGCATAGGAAAGAAAGAACGGGGCTGTAGTAGCTAAGAGCAGAATGGAGTTACTGCCCAAATACCAGGAAGCTACTGCTTCCATTTAGAGCCATGAGACAACACTGAATGCTGAGCTGCTGAGGGTGGTGCCCCTGCTGCTGTTAGAACCACTCTGTTGATTTGAGCACCCTGTAGCTGCTGAAAGCACCACCCAGAAGTGCCTGCAACTATCCAAAGTTGCTCTCTGAGCCTTTGAAAGCCATAACCTGGCCGAGTGTGGTGGCTCACACCTGTAATCCGTTTGAATTACTTTGGGAGGCCAAGGTGGGCGGATCACAAGGTCAGGAGATTGAGAACATCCTGGCCAACATGGTGAAACCCCGTCTCTACTAAAAATACAAAAATTAGCTGGGCATGGTGGCACATGCCTGTAGTCCCAGCTACTCAGGAAGCTGAGGCAGGAGAATAGCTTGAACGAGGGAGGTGGAGGTTGCAGTGAGCTGAGATCGTGCCACTGCACTCTAGCCTGGAGACAGAGTGAGACTGCATCTCAAAAAAAAGAAAAGAAAAGAAAAAGAAAGCTATAAACTAATTATTTGAAATAGAATAAATTTTTTAAATGATACAAGACCTCTTTGGTCTCAGCCACAAAGGGAACACCATCGTTTGGAAAGCATTGCAGTAAGACACACATGTTGTGCTGCTGCTGTGCCCCTAAGGCCTATGCCCTTCAGTAGTCAACCTGTGGCACATGTGCCACCTTGCCAAGCACAAGAGGAAGTAACACTGGAGTACCAATGCTGAAAGATGAAATACCACCAGGACTAGTCAAATGAGGCACCTAAAAAGTGTATACCACAGATTCAGGCAGGGATTCCGTGAAGGAACAACACCTAGACCTAAGACGGCAGCTGTTGCAGCATCCAGTTCATCTTAAGAATTTCACTCCAGCCTGGGCAACAAGAGTAAAACTCTGTCTCAAAAAATAAATAAATAAATAAAAGGAAAAAAAAGAATTTTGATGGTTAGTCACCCAATAAATGTTCTGGTTGGCCGGGCGTGGTGGCTCATGCCTGTAATCCTAGCACTTTGGGAGGCTGAGGCAGGTGGATCATTTGAGGTCAGGAGTTCAAGAACAACCTCGCCAACATGGTGAAACCCCATCTCTACTAAAAATACAAAAATTAGCTGGGCATGGTGGTGGGAGCCTGTAATCCCAGTTACTTGGGAGGCTAAGGTAGCAGAATTACTTGAATCTGGGAGGCAGAGGTTGCAGTGAGCCAAGATTGCGCCACTGCACTCCAGCCTGGGTGACAGAGTGAGACTCTGTCTCAAAAAAAAAAAAAGTTCTGGTTTTTAAAAATTAAAAAAAAAAAAATGATACAAGACATGAAGAACAATACCAGTTAGTATTAGAAAAACTCAGAAATTATGTGATAGAACTCAGGAAAGAAATCAAAATTTAAACAATTATTATAAAATGGAAGTTGAATTAGAAGAGCAAAGAAACACAACAGTAATGTCATAACAAACGAAGAACTTTTATAATCAAAAAAGGAATAAAGAAACAAAAACAATTTTAAGTGACAAATAGAGAAAATAGGCAAAGAAGATCTAACATATGAATAATGGGAGTCCCTGAAGACTCTGGAATCTCATTTTAAACCATCACTGTCTCGCCCAACAACACACAAGGATGTGAGAATTCCTTTCTGTTTTTAAATTGCCCTAATATTTTTAAATGAGTTGTCATTTTCCCGAAGTTTTTACTACAAAATTTTCACTTGTTGCATAGCCTTTAATACTTTATAGCCTAAAAAATATAAAGGGTGGTGGTAGCAAACAACCCTTCTTTCTCCCAATCTGTAACCTGTTTCAAATTCAGTCCTTCCAAGAGAAAGGCTGCTAACTCATGATAAAATGTGATGAGCTGGCCAGGCACAGTGGCTCATGCCTGTAATCCCAGCACTTTGGGAGGCTGAGGTGGGCGGATAACCTGAGGTCGAGAGTTCAAGACCATCCTGACCAATATGGAGAAACCCCATCTCTACTAAAAATACAAAATTAGCCAGGCATGGTGGCGCATGCCTGTAATCCTGGCTACTCGGGAGGCTGAGGCAGAAGAATTGCTTGAACCCGGGAGGCAGAGGTTTCAGTGAGCCAAGATTGCACTCCAGCCTGGACAACAAGAGTGAAACTCTATCTTAAAATAAAATAAAATAAAATAAAATGTGATTAGCTATTTGCAAAGACAAAATAAAAGACATTCACTTTGAAAGACAGCTCCTTGGACATACAAAGTCTCTTGTACAACAGTATTTTTGTGGTGAGTCAAACAAAAAATAAATTTAAGACATATAGATGATATTTACCTGTGGGGTGTGGAGAACACAAATCCCAGAATAACTCTGAACTATCTATTATTATTATTATTTTATTGCCAAACTCCAAGCCTCTGGGAAGAATTCAAAAGGCATAGCAACGTGGAAAGAAAAGTCAGGCTCCTCCTTCTTCCTTTGATGCCCCCTCTCTGGAGCCTGGCTGCACTCCTGGTTGGCAGTTTGGTGGGCTGTCCTCTGCTGCCTGCTTCTTCGGGGTGAAATCTCAAAGTAAAGGCTGATGCAGAGAGAAGGAGATCCAGGAGGGGAAACTCACATCATATTGCACAGTGTGTAATCTACGCTTTCTAATGTTTTTTCTCCTAGTTTTTTTTAAAGGTTTTTTAAAAGTTTTTTTCTGCCTAGTTTGTTAAAAAGACTGACTTAACCCTCTGCCTGTGACACAGAGACAGTAAAATAAAATCTGTGGGTGAAGGTAAGGCTCCGTAGTGCCTCATTTCCAAGGATATGAGGAAGAGGCAGGATCAAAGGCTTTTCACGTAAATACATATGCGAGGCAATAGGTAAAGGCTTTAGAGTCAGACAAATGGGGATGAGTCCTGGCTCCGTGCTTCATGGCAGGGTGGTTAGCTTGAGCAAGTAACTCAACCTCTTAGTGCTTCAGTTTTCTCAACTGTAAAAAGGGGGATAGTAGTGTGCACTGTTCTGCACTGTTTTGTTGTTGTTGTTGTTGTTGTTGTTGTTTTTGAGACAGAGTCTCACTCTGTCGCCCAGGCTGGAGGGCAATAATGGCATGCGATCTTGGCTCACTGCAACCTCTGCCTCCCGGGTTCAAGCAATTCTCCTGCTTCAGCCTTCCAAGTAGCTGGGATTACAGGTGTGGTGTGCACTGTTCCTTATTTCTATGGACTTTTATTTCTATGGACTTTTATTTCTGTGGACCTATCTAAATTGAGCCCCCACCCTTCAAATAATGTGACAGTCATTAATACTCCAGGCACATGATAGGATTTCACTTCGTGGCCCCCTTTGAAGTTAGGTATGGCCACGTAACAGTTCTAGCCAATAAATTGTGAGAAATAACATATATCATTTAACGGTGGAATTTAATTGCCATTATGAGACTCTCCAGAGCTCTCTTTCCTCTGGCACACTGACCAACAATATTTTAGATGTTTGTTACTCCATCACCCCAGATGCCTGAGTGACCACAGTGAACAGAGTCTCCTGCCAGCCTGTGATTAACTTACAACATGACCAAGAAATAAAACTTTGATTTAAGCTGCTTTAAACTATAACTTACCATTCTTGATTTTTTAAATTTATTTTTATTTATTTATTTATTTATTTATTTATTTATTTTGAGATGGAGTCTCGCTCTGTCGCCCAGGCTGGAGTGCAGTGGCGCGATCTCGGCTCACTGCAAGCTCCGCCTCCCGGGTTCACACTTTTCTCCTGCCTCAGCCTCCTAAGTAGCTGGGACTACAGGTGCCCACCACCACATCCAGCTAATTTTTTTTCTATTTTTAGTAGAGACGGGGTTTCAGTGTGTTAGCCAGGATGGTCTCGATCTCCTGACCTTGTGATCCGCCCACCTTGGCCTCCCGAAGTGCTGGGATTACAGGCGCGAGCCACCGCACCCGGCCAGTTCTTGATTATTTTAGAAGAGCCTAACCTATCCCCAAAGATACCAGTAGTAAATCAATAAATGCAGTTACCTGAAGAGGACTTGAAAAGTCCTTGAAAAACTTTGTTTTATGCATCACCTTATTAATTCACCCCACCAGCATTTACCAAGCAATGAGTACCGGCCAGGCACTTTGCTAGGCTCTGTGGGGGTAGACACAGGAGTGCAGTCCCTGCTGTCAGGACCCTTCTGTCGAGTACACAAGGCCTCCTCCTTAGACACTCACTCTCTTCAACCATACTCCCAACCAGTGCATGCATCTGGTAGAAATGGCTTTATCCGTTTTTAGCTTACAGGCTGTTCTTGGAAAATGGATGAAGCCTCAAAGTACAGGTTTAAGATACTAAAGCCGATCTAACAGACCCTTCATCCCCTCACCAACACATCATGACATCATGTTTATTTTTTTCTGCCTTCATACCTCTGCTTAATCTGGACTCTCTGCATCTTCAAATTCCATGTCTTCCATGAAGTATTTCCTGTTGAATTCCTCCTCTTCTAAAAATCCTGGAATTCTACCCCTTATTGAATACATCCTGCCATCAGTAGCATAGTAGAGAAAGAGCAAACTTTGGAGCCAGACAGTCCTGGACTTAAGTCCTGGCTTTGCCCCTCCCTAAATGAGAAGGCTAGAGACCATGTTTTGGTTGAATGCTTATTATATACTAGACACTCTAAGTCATATCATATAAATTTAATTATCACACTTGCCCTTCAAGACTGATTATATATATATATATATATATATAAATAAAATATTTTAGAGAGTAAGCCAAGCTGAGGTAAAAAGAAGCACGGACTCACACACTCCTATCAATTTTAACATTTCAGCTCTTTTATATAAATAATTTTTCAGAGTGGTATATCTTATTTGCTTGCTTGCTTTTTAAAAAAAATTTACGTGGATCACGAGGTCAGAAGATCAAGACCACCCTGGCTAACACGGTGAAACCCCATCTCTACTAAAAAAAAATACAAAAAATTAGCCGGGCGTGGTGATGGGCACCTGTAGTCTCAGCTACTCAGGAGGCTGAGGCAGGAGAATGGCGTGAACCCAGGAGGCAGAGCTTGCACTGACCCAAGATCACGCTACTGCACTCCAGCCTGGGCAACAGAGCAAGACTCTGTCTCAAAAAAAAAAAAAAAAAAAAAAAAAAAAAAAAAAAAAATTTACAAAGGTTTGTATTTTTGTTCTAATCATTTCCTTTTTTTTTTTTTTTTTTTTTCCTGAGACGGAGTCTTACTCTGTCGCCCAGGCTGGAGTGCAGTGGCACCATCTCGGCTCAGCTGCAACCTCCACCCCCTGGGTTCAAGCAATTCTCCTGCCTCAGCCTGCCAAGTAGCTGGGATTACAGGCACGCACCACCACACCTGGCTAATTTTTGTATTTTTAGTAGAGACAGGGTTTCACCATATTGGCCAGGCTGGTCTTGAACTCCTGACCTTAGGTGATCTGCCTACCTCGGCCTCCCAAAGTGCTGGGATTACAGGTGTGAGCCACTGCACCCGGCCTCATTTCCTATCTATAACATCTTTTATCCCCTCTGTTTGGGAAACAGGTAATGATTGTCTATTGTTTTCCTCTTATGAACAACATAGACGTTATTTAGTAACTTCTTCCTCCTCCCCTTCTTATCCTCCAGCAGGTGATTTGAAGCAAAGTTGTTTTGCTATATCTATAAGGCAACCAGCAGATTTATTCTGCTTTAAACATGCTCTCCCCATTCTCCTTCCTCTTTTTTTAGTTATACTGTAGATTCATTTTAAGGGCACATAACCGTTATAAATTCTATTTTCTCCCTTATAAGCATTATTAAGTTCTACATGTGAACAGGTATTTCGTGCTCACCAACTGCTATGTCAATGTCTTAACAGTCATTTGGGTTGTCTGAAGTACGTTCTCTAGAAGATACCTCGGAAAGGTCTCATGGGAATATTCCCTGTGTTCTTTCACATTGATAACGTCTTGTCTGTGGTCAGTTTGGCTAGATGTAAAATCCTTAGTTCATATTTTCTTTCTTTGGGTATCTATGTTACCACTGTCTTTGGACATAAAACAGTGTCACCAACTGTGTCTCAGTGTTGATCTTCTGTGTTGATTTCCCCAGGTATGAGTGTGCCCATTTTATATGTAGTATTTTTTTCCAGAAAATTTTATAGTTTTTTAAAAATGTATTTTTCTCCATGGCTTTTGTTTCTTCTTTGGACATCTATAATACATCTTTAGATCTTCTCTGCCTATCTTCCATATTGGTCACTTTTTTTTTTTTTTTTTTTTTTTTGAGATGGAGTCCTGCCCTGTAGCCCAGGCTGGAGTGCAATGGTGCGATCTCGGCTCACTGCAACCTCTGCCTCCCAAGTTCTTCTCCTGCCTCAGCCTCCTGAGTAGCTGGGATTACAGGCGCCTACCACCATGCCTGGCTAATTTTTGTATTTTTAGTAGAGACAGGTTTTCGCCACGTTGGCCAGGGTGGTCTTGAACTCCTGACCTCAGGTGATCCACCTGCCTCAGCCACCCAAAGTGCTGGGATTACAGGCATGAGCCACTGCGCCCGACCCATACTGGTCACTTTTTCTTAAGTTCTTTGATTTCTCTTTATTCATTCTGGAATTTCATCTGTTTTCCTCCTTTTTCACTTTTTATTCCCTTAAAGCATTATCTGTTGTGCTCATTCACTCTAATATCCCTTCTATTATAATTCAGCCTTCATTTGTGAGATGAGTTTTCTTTTCTTTCCAATTCTTTCCTCAGTACTATTACCTAATTTCTGCCTTATAATTCTGATTAGTGATTTTCTTTCATATCCTGTACCATTTCTTATTTTAGCTCATTTTAAAACATTAAGTTATGGCTTTTATCTGGTTTTGTGAGCATGACTGTCTGGAATGCTTTCATTACCATTAGGGATGTTATTCTGCTCCTTGTTCTCATTTTTCATATAATAACTTCATTACAAGATTTGACTGCGATCCTTTCTGTTACTCTTTTTTATGTGAAATTAGTTTTCCTGCACATTTAGGAGGAAGAGGTGAGGCAGAATAGCTTTTCCAAATTCAAGGCTTTACAGCTTCCTTTTCTGTTTCCATGACATGTTCAAAAATACAGCTTCATCTTTCTGACATTGCTCTGTTCCCCTCCCCGACTCTCATCTGGACTTCTCTTTTCTTTGCCCCAAATATCCCTGGCCTGCTCCGCTTGCGTTTTGCTCCGTGCAGTTTCTTTTCTGGTGCCTGGTTACTCCAGCTTCTTCAGAACTTGCTGTGGATCCCTTGCATGCATGTGCTGCAAACTGGGTATTACGAAACTCCAGTTCCAGCTGCTGTTCTCCTATTAGCCCATTGCACTTTCCAGGGAGTACCTATTGGCTGTTTTGGGGTGCTCTTATTTTCCAATTTCGCAGATACCCTGTTGCTTTCCTGTGGTTCTTTCCATAAAAATGCTGATACCATGTCAGTCTTGGCGCTGCCAGAAGATTCCCTCTGCTTGAATTTTTGGGTTTGTGGGGATACCTTTTCACCTTTTGTTGTAGATGCCGATTTGTTTTTGATTTTGCTATCCCAGGTGCCCTGTTTCTATGAAAGAATTCAGGGAGCTTCAAAAAGTATGCTAGTGCCACTGCCATTTTCCCAACATTCATTTCTCTCAATTCTTTGTATGATACCAACCAATTAAATCAAACTGATAATGGACAAACCACCACCAACTTTTGTAAAAGGAGGGGCTCCAAGATGTACTAGTTATCTGTCTAAAACCCATTCTGTCTTCCTTCCTTACCGACAGTATTCTGGTTCATTCAGGGTGACAGTGTGCCCAGCTAAAGAGTATTTCCCAGCCTCCCTTGCAGCTAGGGGTAACTGTGGGATACAGTTCTAACCAATAAGACATGAACTTTTTCTCTGGAGAAAGCTCATTACAAGGCAGGCTAACTCCACTGGCCAACCCTCTTTTACCCTTTCCCTTCCTGCTGCCTGTCAAGAGCTGAGTTGAGCTAGAAAAAGCTGAGCTGCCAGGACTTGGAGTACAGTTAAGTGAAAATGAAGTAACAGCAAGCCTTTCATCACTTACTGTGATGGTACAAGCAACAGGCTAACCAGGAGAAAGCGCTGGCTCCCCTCATGTTCCATTTCCCACCATGAACCAGTGCCAGGCAAGGGTCAGGTGGATCAGTGCAAATGTGGGGATGGTCTCACTGCCAATTGATCCCTAAACAAAAGGCTCCTGCCATTTCACAGGGCCTGGGGACTGAGAAGAGGAAGAGGGGGAAGGGTTAGGAGTAGAAAAGTACTGAGCCTTGGAAGTGAAAAAAATATTTTCAAGTTCCCCGGTACCCCATAGATAAATTGGTCTCTGCAGAGGCACCTGAAAAAGGCTATGGCTAGGAGGCCTCCAAATGGAGGAGCCTGGGCATGAAACGCAGATATGCGTAAGAGTATCCTTGACTGTAGTCCCTTCAGAGACACATGGCACTCACTGGGCACCCAGTCTGGTGTGGGCAGGCAGCTTTTCCCAAGAGGCCTGTTGGGTAAGGCCTTTGTCAGGCCTGAAAGATCAGGCACGGGTTTTTGGCCTGGAGGCACACTCCGCACCACCTACCCTTTGCTGGAGGTAACACGGGCATCTTGGGAGTAGATGACAAATTCATGCTAAGGACTGCTGGGCAGAAGAAAAATAAAAAGAGATGGCATCATGGAGCAGCCATGTTAACCTCAGACTATCTCTAAATTTCTATTTACATAGGAAAGACAAAACGGCAAATTTATTTAAGCTAACTGCTTCTCAGGGTTCTTTTACAGCTGAATGTAATTCGTAAGAGCTGCATGGAGGTCCCAAGGGCAGTGGCTCCCAAATGGTGGTGCTGGTTAGTTCACGAAACTTTCACTGGTCTTGGCTAGGTGAGAAAAAATTAACAGTCAGTTTTTCATAAAGCTAAACTTACCAAGTTTTTAGTACTAAGATTATGTCCTTCCAGATTATTTGATATTATAATGTCCTTTCTTCTATAAAGATAATGGTGCTGACAATGCTGGCTGTGTCCAAAATCCTTACTTAAAAATTAAATCCTGGCCACTTTATTATAGAATCTCTAAACATATTTTTGGAAAAATTTACCGGTGATACCGACTTAAAAGTACTTAGTAGCTTGTAGTCCTAGCAACTTGAGAAGCTGAGGTGGGAGGATCCCTTGAGCCAGGGGTTTGAGGCTACAGTGGACTATGATGGCTCCACTGCACTCCAGCCTGGGAGACAGAGCAAGACAAAAAAAAAAAAAAATACTTAGAAGACTCAAGGGACACAAACAGCTGTCTTCAAACATCTGAAGGGAATAAGGCTCACACTTGTTCTGTGAGGCCCAGGGGCAGAGCAAAGACCACGCAGTGATGGCTGCAGAGGCACTTCTGACAGAACAGGCCATTGAAGGACGAAACGCTGCCTGGAGAAAGCCGGATGCCGGCAGCCACTGAGCAGTGATCACTGGACTGTAAGATCCAGGAGAACAGGGAGCTTGTCTGTTTTGTTCACTGTTCTAGCCTCAGTACATACAATAGTACCCAGCACATAGTAGGTGCTCAGAATATATTCGTTGGTTAATTAATGGAGGGATATTCAGCATCTGATGGGAGGTTTGCCAAGGTGATGTTAAGCTCATTGTAGCCTGATTTATGTGTCTTCCTTTACCTGCGTGGTCAACCTTTTAAGTCTAAATGTGTCTTTGTAGCTATCTCAGAAATATATAGGGAATTCTGTCTGGAAGAGGATGATATGGTTTGGCTCTGTGTCCCCACCCAAATCTCATCTTGAATTGTACTCCCATAATTTCCACATGTTGTAGTAGGGACCCGGTGGGAGATAATTTGAATCATGGGGGTGGTTTCCCCCATACTCTTCTCATGGTAGTGAATAAGATCTGATGGTTTTATCAACGATTTCCGCTTTTGCATCCTCCTCATTATCTCTTGCCACCACCATGTAAGAAGTGCCTTTTGCCTCCTGCCATGATTCTGAGACCTCCACAGCCATGTGGAACTGCAAGTCCAATTAAACCTCTTTTTCTTCCCAGTCTTGGGTATGTCTTTATCAGCAGCATGAAAACAGACTAATACAGAGGACAACAGAAACAGTAGGTGATCAGTAATCCTGACCATCAGAAGCTCAGCCTCCCAGATCATATGCATTTTGAACAAACAGTATGTTAAAGCTCTTTGCGGTGTCACTGGTTTCTCTCTTTAATGCACACTAGCCAGGAAGTCAAAGTGCCAGGTACTCCAAGTACCCTAAGAGAATTTTGTGAAATTTGTCAAAATGGGATGTAAATGAACTTTTTTTTTTTTTTTTTTAAGAAAAGGTCTCACTTTGTCACGTAGGCTGGAGTGGCTCACTGCAGCCTCAACCTCCAGGCTCAGCCTCTCGAGGATACTTAACATCACCTTGGCAAACCTCCCACCTTAGCCTCTCAAGTAGCTGGGACTACAGGCATGTGCAACTACACCCAGCTAATTTTTTGTATTTTTTTTTTGTAGAGACTGGGTTTCACCACGTTGCCCAGGCTGGTCTCAACTCTTGGGCTCAAGCAATCCACCCATCTTAGCCTCCCAAAGTGCTGGGATTACAGGTGTGAGCCACAACTTCTGGCCGAATGTGTTCTTTAAAACTGATATTCCATTCTTATAGGAAGAAACATTCAGATGTCCCATTTTAATCCACACATCATAACACCGAGCACATTCAATCAGATTCCCAGCAGCCTCCAGTACAGACAAACCATCAAGGAAAAACTTGAGGTCAAAGTCACAAAATGCAGACACAGACATCATGTGAGGTATTTATTTTGCAGCCATTCAGTTCAGCTGTCCAGTATCAGGTTACCAAAGACAAATTTTCAAGCTCCCGGTTAATCCCCACCAAAGTTTCTACTGTTCGGCTACTTCAGGATGGCTAACATTTGGAGAGAAGAGGATCCCCCAGGTAGTCTGTACATAATTCAGAGAGAGGACATCAGAATTTTCCATGGTTCTATTTCAGGTATTAAGGTACCACAGTGAAGCATGTCATTTGACTGTGGTGGCAAAGGGACGGCACTGAGCATGCCTAACCTATTCCCTGGCATTTCAGTCCAATCAGCGCATGCTCGCAATGATCATCCATGGGTGAAAAGGAAGAGCTGAAAGACACATGTGCTGAGCAACATTTAATTTCTGCTTGTTAAACGGGTGATTAGGCGCCAGTGTGGCACCATCCAGACACTGGGAATTTGTGCCACTCCATCAGTTCTGCTGGCTCTGCTCATTCTGCTTTCCTGCAGTGGATGCCACTTCCCAAAGAACCATGCTCCAAAAAACAAAAGAGAACTGAAAAACAAAACGGGAAACTTTCAAGATAAAGCACCCCCCCACCCCGACAGGAAAGAGCTACATTGTAGAAAAGGATATTCATGTATGTTTAGAGATATAACTCCCAACACCGGAGCAGTCTGCTGCCACCAATTCCCTAAATCTTGAGGCTTGAGTCTAATTTTGATGCTAAAAGTAGAGCTTAGTGTTGGAAGAAAGATGATGCTTTAAAAAGTTTTCTTCTATTTGCTTGGAAACCCAGTGACCCTTTCCAAGCCAGATCCTAAAGCTACCTTTGCCCATCCTTCTCTCTTTCTCTTCTCCGTGACAGCACTGTGTTAAGCACTAGAGGAGAAAAGATAAGAGTGGATATGGAGGGACTTAAAGATCTGGGACCTGGAAAACCGTGGTAATTGAAATGTAAGGTTATACAGGAGATAATGGCAGGATATGAGGCAGGACAAATAAATCAGGGATAGATTGTGGCAATGCAGGGGGTTTCAATTTTGTTATTTGGGCAATAGGGGGCCAAAAAAAAAAAGTTTCTAAGTAGGGAAGTGACATAGTTAAAGGCGTGGTCAGAATTATAAATTTTCAAAGACCCCTGTGGCTGTGTATAGGATGAATTGGAAGGAGAAAAAGAAAAGAAGTGGAGAAAGCCATCATGTTACTGCTGCAGTTCAAATATGAAATGATCGGTCCTGAACACTGGGTATGGTAACAACAGGACAGAGATGAAAAATACTTCAGAGATAGAAAAGACAGGTCTTGCTGACTGATACTATGTGGAAGGTGAGTGGGGGGAATCTACAATCTACCTTGATGCTGAGGTTTCTATCTTGGGTGACTGGATGGATTTCTTAATTAATCCAACAAATATTGAGGACCCATGTGCCAGGTACTGGGGACAGTGATGAACAAGACAGACATGGTCCCAACTGTCAAGGAACCAGTCTACCAAGAGAAGCAACAGGGCAAACAAATACAGAAAATATTATTTATTTAATTATAATCTTAACTTGCCAGGCGAGGGTGTAATAAAGAATCTAACCTACTCTGCAGTCAGGGACAGTATAAATGATGGTGCCATTCCCTGAGACAGGAAAACATGAGGAGGATCTGGTTGTAGTGGGGGATGAGTATAGCTTGGAATGTAATGAATTTGAGGCAACTGTTGGTATACCTACCTGGGGATTTGCAAGACAGGGAAACTTGGAAAGAGGGGCTGGAGATAGAGTTAAATCCAGGGAAGACTAAGGAATATGGTGGAGAATAAGTTCCTAATGCATAGCCTTCCACTTGGGAGAATGAGCTAGGCCTTCCTGGAGACATCAACAGGACAATACCACATTCAGATGTCAGCGTTTGATGATACCACGAAGGTGAGGCTAAGGCAAGGGCTAACTGCCCAAGTCTACTGGCTCAAGAAAAGAGAAACATTGCCAACAAAATATCTGTGAAAAGTGGCTGGAGAAAGCCAGATGCTGTAATTTGCTGGCATGAAAGAACCTAAAGCCCTGATCAGCCTTTTAGTAACCATCAACTTGGGTTCTGAAACGCTAAATAAAGGTAGGGACAAACGGGCCCACAGAGCAAGCACTCAAGATTTTATATTCATAAATATATACTCTGTTTTTCTCTCCTCTTTCTAGCTGTCTGTTCCAAATCAATGTCAAGACTAGGGAAGAATATGAAGACTAGAAAATTCCCTTCTCAGGTAGGCATGGTGACTCATGCCTGTAATCCCAGCACTTTGGGAGGCTGAGGTGGGCAGATCACTTGAGGCCAGGAGTTAGAGGCCAGCCTGGCCAACATGGCAAAACCCCATCTCTACCAAAAATACAGAAAAATTAGCCAGGCATGATGATGCATTCCTGTAATCCCAGCTACTCGGGAGGCTGAGGTATGAGAATCACTTGAACCCGGGAGGTGGAGGTTGCAATGAGCCGAGATTGCACCACTGTCCTCCAGCTTGGGCAACAGAGTGAGACTCTGTCTGAAAAAAAAGAAAAAAAAAAATTCCTTCTCCTGCTGCCAACTTTTAATGGGTGGCCAGAAGCGAAGAGGTTGGGAATTCTTGGCACTTAGGCCAGAGGGAGAAAAGTAAGATGCTGTTGCCCTTTGTGCCAAAGTTGGTCCCTAATGTCACCATCAGCCAGCACTTCCTTACCTCTTGAAGATTGCCTCTACCACCTCTTGGCCTATGACCTGACTCCTGACCATTTTTGGCTCCCCATCTTGGGTGGCTGCACTATCGCATGGGCATTCTCTGTCCCTTTCCTTGCCTCAGCCCTGCAGCCAAACCTTCCAATGTCACCACAGTCTGATCTGGGATGTTCCAATGAGAAGTTCCCATAATCATGTTTCTCTCTTTAATGTAAAAGGGCCTTCTAGTCTGTGTGGCGTATGAGATGTAAAACTGGAGTATAGAATCTGGGAGGGTAAGGACTGATCTCCGTTGTTCACCAGCACAGAGTAGAACTTCAATGAATGAACAAGTAAAGATTTCCCAAGTAACCTGCCACATAAATCCAGGAAAGTTTTGATGCTATATGATTGGCCTAACAACTTGTTCAAATGAAGCTTTCTCCAAGTGTCTGCTGGGTGCTAGGGAGCTATATTGGTAAATAAAGCTCTGCCCTCAAGGAACTCTCAGTCTATGAAGTTACAGTGAATAAGCAAACTGCCATAATAGAAGAACATACGAGAGCTGTAGAAGAGCACAGAAAAGAAAATAAGTAATACTACCTGGAGAAGTCAAGAAAAACTTCAGCAAGGAGAGGGTATCTCAAGTGAGTCCTGAAAAATAAACAGGAAATTGCCAAGTAGACAAGGCTTGTGAAATGAACACTCTTGACAATGTGAGCGAGTGACAGGATAACTGCATACAAACCCTGTGTATCCAATCAGGAGGATTTAATGACAAAGGACTCTCCAGAAGCCCTCTCTGCATCATTAATTAAAGCCCTGATCACACTGCGATATGATTATCTGCTGATGGCCCTCCTCCGGACAGCCCCACCTGTCACTGCCCCTGGAAAGCTCACCCCAATCTGGATGCGGTCTCAAGCCCTCAAGCCAAAGCAGGGCTTCCCAGGTACAGTTTCCAGGCTCTACCAGGGTCTTGGCTCAGAGAAGACATAGCACTGCCCTCATGTGAAAAGTTAATGAAGAAGGAAGGATGGAAGCCAGATATTCTTTATATTATTTCAATAACTTACATAGGGGTAGCATGCTGATTACAAGTACAGTCCCACACTGCATAATGATGTTTCAGTTGACAACAGACCACGTATACAATGGTGGTCCCATGAGATCACACCATATTTTTACTGTACCTTTTCTATGTTTAGGTACACAAATATTTACGATTGGGTTACATCTGCCTGCTGTATTCAGTATAGCAACATGCCACACAGGTTTGTAGCCTAGGAGCAATAGGCTATCCCACATAAGTGTGTTGTAAGCTATACCATCTAGGTTTGTTTAAGTATATTCTATGATATTGGCACAATGATGAAACTGCCTAATGACGCATGTCTCAGAATGCATCCCATCATTAAGCAATGCATGACTGTAACTGGAAGCTCCCCTATGATCCTGAGGTTCCAGGGAGAGAAGGGGTTCTCCCTGGAATGTGTTCTAAGCTAAGCCTTCCAATGCTCTCCTGGGAATGCGCTCTAGGCTAAGTTTTCCAATACACAGATTTACATGGGGAAGGTAGGTTACTGGTGAGATTAGAAGCCTTTATTTTTCAGTGAAAGCTGGGAGTCCAGAGATGACAGTAGAAGGCACAGCCAGCTCGTAAATCAGCAGCATTCAGGGCTCTGGACAGCCTCTCTATCAGCAAAGCAATTGATGCTTCTGCCAGGGAGGCTGCAAAGAAGCTGTTCATCACTACCTCATTTGGAGACTTGACACCCAAATGGAGGCTCTAACAGCCAAGTTCATAGATCTGAGCAAAGCGCAGAGGCGTCAAATCTGTGTACACCAGTCTGCTAAGTCTTCAAGGGCCCTGAGGGGCAGGCTCTTCTCAGATGCTGCTCTGACTCTCTGAAGGCCTTTACAACCAAAATGAAATGAAATAACTTAAGTCCTAGCTCAGGGGCAGGTTGAGAGAGACCCTCAACATGGCGATGTCAGGTACTTTGGGCCAAAAGAGAGACCCAGGAAACTGTTGCCATTGTGTTCTCTACCTCTGTCCCTCTCCAGCTGGGCTCGAATTGTCTCGTTCTCAGTGATGTGAGTCCACATCGTCTTATCATGGTTCCCCTGTACAGCCTAGGTCTTCATCTTCCCAAAAGCCATGGGAAGCAGACTACTTTTTCCAGAACAGCTAACTGACTGTGCTCAACCTTTATGACCCAGTTCAAACAAGAGCCCCTCTCTGAAGCTTCCCTCCAGGCCAACTCCAACTGAGTCCCTCCCTTCTTGGCCCCATAATGCTAAACTGACAACTTGGCTATGGCATTTAAAGCTTTAATAGTTCCTATATGGATTGACAACAGTATATGCAAATACTTCAAATATATACGTATCACAAGTTTGTGCTTGTGACTGAGAATCTAAAATGGCCTCCAGTGATCCCTGCCTGTCTCCAGGCATTCATGCCCTTGTGTAATTGCCTCCCCTAGAAGGTAGGCAAGACCTGTGACTTGCTTCTAGTCAATAGAAGATGGTAAAGGTGATGACCATCTCTCCTATGTTTACATTATATAGGACAGCAACTTCCATCTCACTATCAGACTCGATTGCCTCTCTCTCCCTTTATGGCTTTGATGAAGTGAGTGATCATACAGAGAGGCCCACGTGGCAAGCAACTGAGGGTGGTCTCCAAATGACCGTCAGCAAGAAGGCCCTCATTCTACGAAGCCACAGGAATTGAATCCTGCCAACAACCTTGTGAGTTGGGAGGCAGATCTTTTCCCAGTCTAGACTTCAGGTGAGACACCAGCCCTGGCCAATGTTTTGACTGCAGCCTTGAGAGAGAATCTGAAGTAGAGGAGCAAGCTAAGCTATCCCCACAGTCCTGCCCCACAGAAACTGTGAGAATGTGTATTGTGGTAATACCACTGGGCAGCAATAGATAATTAATACAGCACGCAAACTCTCAGCTGATAAGACATGCAATCAAAGGAGTGTGGAGACTGCTACTAAACACCTCTAGACCCGCAGAGGAAGGCTCCATCAAACAGCCAAAGGCTAGCAGTGAGAACCTGCACGTTTTAGTGGTAAAAAGAACATTTGTCTAAAAAATGGGAAAGTGAAAAACCTCAAAAATTGGCTTCCCAAGACTTAGATATGAGTCCCAGCTCTGCCTCTAAGAGGTAGGTGATCTTAGTCAGCCCAGATTTACTCAGCCCAGCCTTCTCATCTATACATACAATGTGGTCAAGAGGGCCAGTAAGAGTGGCCAATGAGAGAATAAACTAGGAAATGTTTTGTCAGGCCGGGCGCGATGGCTCACACCTATAATCCCAGCACTGTGGGAGGCCAAGGTGGGTGGCTCACAAGGTCAGGAGTTCGAGACCAGCCTGGCCAACATAGTGAAACCCTATCTCTATTAAAAATACAAAACATTAGCCAGGTGTGGTGACGGGCACCTGTAATCTCAGCTACTTGGGAGGCTGAGGCAGGAGAATCTCTTGAACCCGGGAGGCAGAGGTTGCAGTGGGCCAAGATTGCGCCACTGCACTCCAGCCTGGGCGACAGAGTGAGACTCCACCTCAAAAAAAAAAAAAAAAAAAAGTGTTTTGTCAAATGGAATGTGATAGACACATGTTAGTTTGCCCCAGAACTCTGGGGTGGCCTTGGGTAAGGCACTGTCCTCTCTCGGTCTCAGCTTCCTTATTGTAAAATGAGGAGGGAAGCCCATGCTATTTAATGTCTCCAAGGGCTCTGATCTTCTTTGATTCTAACATCGCATACCCATGAGAAGAGAGGAAGAGGCGAAAGTGGTAGACTATGACATTTTACAATAGTTCCCAGTCATTCTACTGGCCAGGGTGACTGTCTTACCATTAAGGAACTGGAAAGCATTTGACCAGTCATATCTAGTCAACCTACAGGGCCTACAACCTGGATTCCTCAACTAAGAGGGAAAATCCCCATTTGTTTTACAAAAAGGAAAAAATGATCAAGGTAAAGTCAGTGGGAGCCACCAAACATAAACTACTGACGCACTCTGAGAGTGGCAGTAGCTTTGATTTTATTGCTGAGCACCTTAACTATGTGCCAGGAGCTTTTATAAAAATAATCTCCAACCTTCACTACAATCTTATATAGTTTGTGTCATTCTTATTGTAAAGACAAGTTAGCTGAAGCTCAAAGAGAGTAAGCCCCTTACCCAAGGCACATTGCTAGTACATGGTAGGGCTGGGATTTATCATTATTATTATTAGAGACAGGTTCTCTCTCTATCATCCAGGCTAGAATGCAGTGGCACAATCACAGCTCACTTTAACCTCCATCTCCCAGGCTCAAGTGATCCTCCAACCCCAGCCTCCCAACTAGTTGGGACTACAGGAGCATGCCACCATGCCAAGCTAATTTTTTGTATTGTTTGTAGAAACGGGGTTTTGCCGCATTGCCCAGGTTGGTCTCAAACTCTTGAGCTCAAGTGATCTGCCTGCCTTGGCCTCCCAGAGTGCTGGGATTACAGGTGTGAGCCACCATAGCTGACCTGGGATTTAATTGTAATTTTATTTAATTCTAAGCCCCTGGTTTTTGCACACATCTCATGCCTCTGGGAGAGAGCAGCTTGGACAGAAAGGACAGTCTGTGATTACACAGCAAAGTAAAGGTTCTTGTCCTGCAGCAAGATCATGTGCAGAGTGTGGCTTCATTTATTCATGCCACAAATATTTACTGAGTGCCCTATGTATACTAGGTTATGTGGTAGGCAATGAAGATATAGAGTAACACCATGCCTTGTTCTTGTCGAGCTGAGCCTAACTGGGGAGACATTGTAGTATACAGTGGACAAATGAATGAATAAATAGCCGAACAAATTAATGAATAGGCAGATGGACACATGATTAGTCAGCCATTAGTGTTTCAAGCACCATGAGAGTGATACTTAATACAAAGTGTAATGGGATCACCAGATAAATTATATGACCAGATAAATGGCCGGGCACGGTGGCTCACGCCTGTAATCCCAGCACTTTGGGTGGCCGAGGCAGGTGGATCACCTGAGGTCAGGAGTTCAAGACCAGCCTGGCCAGCATGGTGAAACCCCATCTCTAATAAAAATACAAAAATTAGCCAGGCAGTAGTGGCACCCACCTGTAATCCCAGCTACTCAGGAGGCTGAGGCAGGAGAATCGCTTGAACCCAGGAGATGGAGGCTGCACTGAGCTGAGATCATGCCATTGCACTCCAGCTTGGGCAACAAGAGCGAAACTCTGTCTCAAAAAGAAAAAAAGAAAGTAAGAAAAAGAAAAAAGAAAAAACCACCAGGATTGTTATAAAATGGAACAAACCCATATTGTGTTCTAGGAAAGGGTTCAGGGAGAAGAGAGTCCCCTCTACTGGGACCAAAGGCAGGAGCTCCTCTTACAGAAGAACCTAAGAGCTCATGTTATCCAACTCTATAAAGCCAGTATCATGTGGATTTCAAAACAGAGGACTTCAATAAGAGGAACACAGAAACACAGACATGCACATGCACAAACCCACGCTGAACTGTGCAGAAGGATGAAAGGGTCTGGCCCTCTGTGCTTAAAGCTAACACTAACAGAATTGATACACCTGCCCATGTTTTATGGCACCACACAGCAAAATAAAAATAGAATCTCTTACTTTCCTCATTAGCTGGACTTGGCTGCAGCAACTGTTTGGTTTGGAGTAGCTGTAGTTGTTGGGAGATGGTCCATCTCTGGTGCATCAAAAAAGTATGCCTGTGGGGAAAAAAAGACCCAGGAGGGAGTTAAAAAGACAGTGGTCCGGGTAAGTGTTTTTTTAGACTCCATGCTAACAGTACTTTTGGACTCTCACAGCCCCTAAGTTCTTCCTACCATATTTGCCATCACACTAAACTACAACCATCTCTGTTTACGTTTGTCTCACTAAATTGTGCATACTTTAAAAAATTTAGCTATCATGTACTGAGCACTTACTATATTACATGACTTACTCTTAATAACCCTATGAGGTTGTTAGGATTATCCTCATTAGACAGATAAAGAAACTAAGGCTCAGAGAGACTGTCATTTGATCAGGTGAACATGGCTAATGAGTGGTGAAGCCAGAACTCAAAGCTAGGTCGGTCTGACTCCAAAGCACAAGCTCTTAATCACAACATTATACAGTCTTTCCTCCAGGGCAAAGACTTCTTCATCTTTGTGTCACCAGCACCCCTGCACAGGGCCTGGCACAGTATGTAACCAATCAATACCTAATGAACTGAACTACATTAGCTTGCTGCTAAACTAGTTAGTTGGCTTTCTGCAAATACCTTGAAAAGAGAGTGCTAGGCATGCTTTCCCTAAAAATTCTTCAGCTGGGAAATGAAAGGTTTGCTAAGTGCTTCCACTCACCATCTACAATTTAACGGTCAAAAGTCAGAAGGAGGTAAAGGAGGGAAGACATAAGGTCTAGAGAAGCCTAACTTGAGCGAAGCCAAACTTGAGCCCAGGAAAATACCAATCTCACTACCCTTGAATACTGGTTGTTCAAAGGAAAGGTGAATCTGTTACTACATCAAGGCTCACTGAATGTTCATGATACCCCCTTGGGGTCAGTGCCCTTAGGAAGGTACACTGTTGGAAAGCCAACAACCATTTTTCACCAGCTCTGCTCTCTATCAGCCAGAAGGGGGCACCAACACAACATGTTGGAGCTCTCCCCTACCTGTTGCTATTCCATGTTAACTCTTTTTGAAAAGTTTCCAGATGATGTCTTTCTCTGCAGACTCCCTCTAGTTTGCCCCATTCCCAAAGCAACTCTATTACTTTTAAGAGGCTTCCTCCTTAGGAACCCTTCCAGCAGCTGTTTTCTGGGGCAAGGAAAGAAGAGTCCCTAACTTAAGTGGGGGATGGGGCCACAGTGCTAGTGCTGGGCTCCTCCAGTTCTCCCTCAGGTACACTGTGCCACAAGCCCCCAGGATGCAGGAACAAAGCCTTTCTTCCAGGCTACTGCAGGGTGCCCTTGTAAGACAGAATGAGCAAAGAGGCCCAGCTTCTACACCTGGCTCTGCTATTAGCTCACACTGTGACTTTGGACAAGTCGCTCCACCTGCTTTGGCCTCAACTTTCTGATCTATAAAATTAAAGGATTAGAAAAGATGATCTTGGGGCTGGTGTGGTGACTCAAGAGAGAGAGAGAGATTGGGTGTGGTGGAGAGAGAAGGAAAGAGAGTGAGAAGGAGAGAGAGAAGGCAGGCAGGGAAGGAAGGAAGGAAGGGAGGGGGGAAGGAAGGAAGGAAGGGAGAGAGAGAGGGAGGGAGGGAGGGAGGGAAGAAAAGTAAATAAGATCTCAGCTGGGTGTGGTGGCTCACACCTGTAATCTCAGCACTTTGGGAGGCCAAGGCAGGTGGATCATTTGAGGCCAGGAGTTCAAGACCAGCCCGGCAAACATGGTGAAACCCCACCTCTACTAAAAATACAAAAATTAGCCAGGCGTGGTGGCACATGCCTGTCATCCCAGCTACTCAGGAGGCTGAGGGACAAGAATTGCTTCAGCCCAGGAGGCAGAGGTTGCAGTGAGCCTAGATCACACTGCTGCACTGCAGCCTGGGTGACAGAGGGAAACTGACTCAAAAAGAAAAGATGATCTCTTAGGGCCATTCCTTGAACAATCTTGAATTCTATGATTCATTAATTCCAAAAATGCTTAATAACAATCACAGCCATCATTTGGGGAATGCCTACTGTGCACCAGACATATACTTGATCATTAATCTGCTCAAAAGTGCTGTAACAGGCCATTTTATCCCTTTTAAAGATGAGAAAGCTGAGGCTCAAAGAAATGGAGATTTTCCCAAGGCTAGACAACTATGTGTCTGAGCTAGGATTTCAATCCAGTCGAGTCCATCTCCATAGTCTGTGCTCTTCTAATTCTCCAACACTTCCTGCAATTTGGCACCTAGTCTATGTCCGGTCCGGATCTAGGCACCGTGGAGACCTCAAAGCTGAATCAGCAGGTTCTCTGTGAGTAGGGGTAGGGCACAGCTCCCTGTAAAAGCCAGCAGTAACCACCTCAAACTTAGGCTTGTACATCTCCAAACATACACCAAGGGTGCAGCCTCTAGGTGCTTCCTTAGTCATCCCTGCCAGTGTGTTCTTGTATAACTTAGACATCATTTACATGTGCAATCACCGAGGGGTCCCTGGCAAGTGTGGGGCTGTTATATGCTTCACTGCACTAAGGCAAAAACACCAATCCGTGTTCCCCAGGGGAGAGTGAGGAAGCCAAGCTGTCTGGTTCAGCCGGTGCCCCTCAGCTCAAATAACTCCCCTGCCAGTTCCTCTCTCTGCCCTAATAATAATGTCTTCCATTTACATGACTCGTCATATTTTCCATGCTGCATATATCATTCAATCCTTGCAACGTAAAGATGTTGCCATGGCATGCACGATCGGCCCCTGTTTCTAAGTGAGGAGGCAGGAGTCCAGAGAAGGGAAATCACCCAACCAGGTGACAGTGGAGCTAGGACTGGAACCCAAGTTTCCTAACTTCTGGCTCAGCCCTTCTGCAGCGCACAATGCCTCCAGAAGAAAAAGGAGGGGCTGGTCACTGTGGAGAACAAAACCCAGGCATGATGGGCCCCTGGCTAGACACCTGACCACGGGATGGTTCCCTTCCTCCAGAAAGAGAAAACTGAGCCTTCCTCTCCAGGAAGAGGCCCTGCACCCCACAAGGACCTCCCTGCTCCACAGTCCAACCCGTCCCGCTCTTCTGAGTCCCTTACAGACTGAACAGCCTCTTCTGTCTCCTCATCTCCACTGCTTTCTCATCCAGGTGTGTAATGGGTAAAAAGTTCAGGAGAGATAAGAAGATGCCAGTGAGAGGCAACAAGGAAGGGCATTGTCATTAAGAGTGGGAGACTTCAGCTTTGGCCCGGGTACCAGCTGTGGGACCTTGGACCACTCTTACTTGGGTACTATGGAGGAATAAGCAGCATACTGGCCCTGGCAGTGTCTGACGACACAGGCTCCTTTAATGACTTTGCATCTGAGGAACACTTCACAGTATATGGAGGGCTTTCACAGCCAGCTCATGGCATCTCACAAAACCCCAAGAAAACAACAATCCCTTTCACAGATGAGGAAACCAAGGTTCTGAGAAGCAAGTCTCTTGCCTAGGTTTGCAGCGCTGAGCATCTCTCAGTCCAGGGCACTCCCTGCTTCAGAATTACGCTCTTTTAGAAAGTTCCTGAGCAGCAAGATGGGCAGGTAAATCCTGGTTTCAGCGCCATCTGCCCCAAAAGGGAACAATAGGCACAGGAGGTAAAAGGTCCTGCCACAGGTACTAGATGAAATGGGTTCTTTTTTTTGTTTTTTTGAGATGAAGTCTCGATCTGTCACCCAGGCTGGAGTGCAGTGGCGCAATCTCAGTTCCCTGCAACCTCCACCTCCTAGGCTCAAGCGATTCTCACACCTCAGCCTCCCTGGTAGCTGAGACTACAAGCACGTGCCACCATACCTGGCTGATTTTTTTATATTTTTGGTAAAGACAGGGTTTAACCATGTTGCCCAGGCTGATCTCGAACTCCTGAGTTCAAGCCATCTGCCTGCAACTTCCTCCCAAAGTGCTGGGATTATAGGCGAGAGCCACCAAGCCTGGCCTGAAGTGGGTTCTTAATAATAACCATAATAGCTCCCTGCTTCACTGCTCAACCTGCCCTGCTCCTATTCCTTAGAGAAATGAGAAGGGCAATGCCTCCTCTCCTGCCTCCTTCTCCTCACCAACTTCTCAGCCAGGCACGTGAGGGGAAGAACTTCAGAAGAGAGACGGGAGATGCCAGTGAGGGACGAGAGATGCCAGTGAGAGTTGGTCACAATGAAAAGGATGTTCTTCAGCAGACAGAAAAGTCCCAGAAGAGTCACGGCAGCATTTTAAGGGATCAACTCAGAGATTCCAAGTGCCAGAAATTAATAGTGTCATTCTGCCATGAGTCAAACCAACAGGCCCGCCTTGAGGGCTTAAAGCTTACGCACATGTAAAGTGCATGTAAACTAGGTTTGTGTTTCACAACTTGGCACTTTTTATGAAACTTGTTTAATGATAAGGCATTGGGATTTCATTAATCTAATGAAATTCTAATCAGATTAATGCATTTAATGAGACATGGTTATCTACACAAAAATGTTAAAGATCAAATGATGCCAAAGAAACATTTACTCCTAAAATTGCAAAACCTGACCAAGGGTCTGGAAACCTGCCATGTGGACTAAGACACCTTCCCATGGCCATGTCCTTTCCTTTATTAGGGACCTTAACATTCTTGGACTCTGATTTTTTTTTCAAAACCTGCAACAGGGCTTGTTAAGGCCGTGGGCAGCAAATTTTGTGCACAGTGTACAGAAGACACAAAACCATGTCTCCTTAGGATCAAAGGAAAGGGACCTAATTTATGGGCATTTACAGGACAAGTTCCATGTTAAGTGCTTTATAGATATCATTTTATTTGCCTCTCAGAACAATCTTGTGGCAGGAAATATACCCATGTCACAGATTAAGAAATTAAGATTCAGAGAGGAACAATAACATCTCCAAGTTCACACAGCCAATGAGTGACAGAGCCGGTCTTCAATCTGGGCTTATCTGACTCAAAAGCACATGCTCTCTCCCTAAAAAGACACCTACATATGAACTCAAACACTACTTTAAATGTTGTTCACCTTAAAAGTAACTCCACTTTCCCATATCTGACTTCATTTTCAAGCTTTCTACCTTCAAATTTAAAACTTTTAATTCCTACCTTTAAACTTTAAACTTTCTACCTTTAAATAAAACTTTAAATTTCAAAAATCTTTCTAGGTATGTGCAGAAAATCAGCAAAGACATCCAAAAACAGAATCCCCCACCCCAGCTCCCTAACTCTATATAGTCAGCCCTCCACATCCACAGGCTCAGCATGCTCAGGCTCAACCAACCACGATGAAAAATATTCTTTAAAAATATGTAAGTTAAAAACACCAATATGACAATAAAAATAATACACATTTTAAAATACAGTATAATAACTATTTACATAGCATTTACATTGCACTAGGTATTATGAGTAATCTGGAAATGATGTAAAGCACATAGGAGGATGTCTGTACACCATTTTTATATAGAGAACTTGAGCATCCATGCTTTGGTATCCATAGAGGGTCCTGGAACCAACCACACCCCCACAACCCCCATACCAAGGAACAAATGTATACAGACACTCATCCACACCTATTTCCTCTGGTCAGACCCCAAATTCTCATCAGATTACTGAAATTAGGCAAAACCAAAGACTAAAGCCAAATTCTCATAATTTCACCACTTCCCATGTAGGTGAGTCTACTTAAAATGAAATTTTATTTCATAGAATCAATTTTTTTTTCTTTTGAGACAGGGTCTCCCTCGGTCACCCAGGCCGGAGTACAGTGGTATGATCTCAGCTCATTGCAACCTCCACCTCCTGGGCTCAAGCGATCCTCTCACCTCAGCCTCCCAAGTACCAGCTACTTGCGATGCTGAGGTGGGAGGATCGTTTAAGCCACGATGCCCAGCTAATTTTTGTATTTTTAGTAGAGACAGGGTTTCACCATGTTGCCCAGGCTGGTCTTGAGCTCCCGAGCTCGAGATCCGCCCACTTGGGCCTCCCAAAGTATTGGGATTATGGGTGTGAGCCAACATGCCCAGCCCATGGACTCAATTTTAAAAGAACTGTTGTGTCTAACAGTTTGAGGTCTTTTAGCATTTGGATATAAAACACACCAAAAGAATATACGACTGAACCCATACCAAGCAGCCCACAGAAAGCAGCATATGGAGCAACACAATTGTCACAATTGTGGCCAATGCAACGCGTCGGTTATCCTCACGAACAGCTGGCCAAAATGTCATTGCCAAGAGAGATCCTGAGATGCCCAGGGCAATCATGACTAGAATCCAACGAACAGCTTTCTGGGGGATAATCCACAGTATCTGAAAGAAGAGAAAAGGAGGAGCGGGGAGTTCTTGGGAGGCATTTGTTCATTCCAGGCACATATGTTTACAAAGGCCCCTGAGCCAATCAGCAGCTGGGCCCCCATTGCCACTCTGGTTTTTCAGTACAGGCTGGAGGAACACCACCAGCATGTAGACTGAGGCATATGCTTTTATAACAAAGGGCCCAAGATCCAATGAAGGCACTAGGCTCCCCAGACCCCTTTCATGCTTAACTTCTAACTTCAAAGGAGATTTTTTCAGAAGAACATGAGTATTGCGCTGGAAATAATGATGGTAGGTCAAATTCTTGGTTGAAGTTTCTACCAAGAACAGAGCATCACTCAGAATCTACTCCCTAAGTATGGTACTTACTGCGGTGGGGATATAAATGAAGAGGGAATATCCATAGACACACACAATCTCCAGAAATGAATAGGAGACGATGTTCATAACTTTGCTGTTTCTCCACATGAGGAAACCCCAGAGTGCAAGAGGAACCAGCCAGGCATAGGCATAGATGATGGTAGCTGCTATGGACACTGAGGATGACAGGACACAAGTTTCAATCTCCATCATGCCTTTAGTAGACTATCAGAGCACTTCCAACACCTTATTGTACTTAAATGCTAACATGTCAATTGACTTCAGTGGACCACGGAATCATGTCTTACTGGTCTGTAATCCCTGAGCTTGGTACAGTACCTAACACACAGTAGGCACTTTAGAAATGTTTGTTGAATTAATGAATCTTTACCATTCGTCTTTGTGGTGAGGATCAATAGTCTCTCATATGGTTTTTATAGGTCATTTAATAACTAACAACTAATATTATTAAACAACTGAACTATGCAACTGAAATACTTCAGAGGGCCACACTGCAAATGTTCATATATAGTAGATATTTCAATCAAATAAAAACCAACTATCCCCTTGGAAGAACATGTTCTCTTCCTCGGTATAACAAGAGCTGACACTGACTTCCTTTTTTTTTTTTTTTTTTTTTTTGAGACAGAGTCTTGCTCTGTCGCCCAGGCTGGAGTGCAGTGGCGCGATCTAGGCTCACTGCAAGCTCCGCCTCCCGGGTTCACGCCATTCTCCTGCCTCAGCCTCCCGAGTAGCTGGGACTACAGGCGCCCGCCACCACATCCGGCTAATTTTTTGTATTTTTAGTAGAGACGGGGTTTCACCGTGTTAGCCAGGATGGTCCTGACCTCGTGATCCGCCCGCCTCCGCCTCCCAAAGTGCTGGGATTACAGGCGTGAGCCACCACGCCCGGCTGACACTGACTTCTTTAGCAAATGTATTAAAATGCCTTGGGTAGAGATTAACTTGCTCTGCATGCTCTCTAGAGTTCCTCTGTCTCTGAAATTGGGAGATGCAGCTCACTGATTAACTGCTTGAAATATTCTCCAGTTATACTTTCTTCCTTAAATAAATAATTCCGCCACTGTGGCAAAAATGCTATTGAGTGGCTCCTCAGAACAGCAACGTTCAGCATATTCCTGTACCTCTCTCCTCTTCCTCTAGTAGCAGCACGCCCTGGAGGATTCCCTTTCCCTCTTCTGGAGTGGAGGTCATAAAGTTATAGGTAAGCCATGGCACCAGCCCTTTCTACATGAAAATCAGTAGGTAATTCACTTAATGCATCTTGGCAAGAACAAAGACACCCCTAACAATTATAGTCAGACTCTGGTTAAGACATGAATGTCCAAAACATGTTTTAGCTCCCAGAACAGTTTTTTCACACTGGGAATTGCCTCGTTAGGCCAAATGTAATTCTGCTGATGTACTGCCTTTTTCTTGGATAACTAAGGGAAGAGGAGGAAATTACTCCCATGGCTATAGCTGTCACTTATTGATCAACTACTGGGCATCAGGTATTACACTCGGTGCTTTATTGAGAGGCAATGTGGAATAATGGTCAAGGGCACAGACTCTGTATACAGACTCCATGGGTTCTAGTTCTAGGAAAAGAAACTCTTGGGGGTAAGTTACTTAACCTTCCTGTCTCAGTTTCCTCATCTATAAAATGGGAAGAAAAATAATATACTACCTTCTAAGATTAATAGGAGAATTAAATGAATAAAAGCAGGTAAGAACTGTTCTATGTAGAAGAGCGACTGATCAATAATAAATGCTCAATCAAGAATTAGTTTTTATATTGTTAACTAATATGTAGCTACATTTATTTCATACAATCTATATTGTCATTTTAGAGATGAGGAAAAGGGGTCAGAGAAGCTAAGTTGTTTGGTCAAGGTCACATAATTAACAAGTTAGTAGAAGCAGGATCTCATCTCAGATGTGACTCATACTTTTTACATAAAACGGAAAAATGTTTATTGATAGGGCCAATGACTACTTTACCAGTATATATATCACATCACTTCCTGATACTGGGATGCCCAGCCAAAGAGGATAAGAACAGGTAAAGACTCTCCTGAGTTTCCAGATCCCCAGGCAAAGTGGTTCACTCCTTCTTCTATGTCAATATACCTACACTTATCTCTGATATAGAGGTTAATATGTACTGTTTACAGCAATAGTCATTTACTAGCTTTCTAACCACTGAACTACTTGAAGGCAGGATCTATATCTCATGGTTAATATTTACTGAATTAAACTCAAATCAAGGTTATTTGATAGAGTTGGGATTGAATCCAAGTCTGACTCCATGATGGACAAGAAGGGAAAGTGGGCATGGAAGGTAGAGGGGAAGAAAAGAAGGAAGGATACATGGATACATTCTCTCTCTCTCTCTCTCTCTCTCTCTCTCACACACACACACACACACACACACACACAGGCAAATACATATCTTTCTATGTACACACAGTGAACTAGCTGAAGGCAGGGTTTCTATCTCATGGTTAACATTTATTGCATTAAACTCAAACCAAGGTTACTGGATAAATAATGGGATTGAATATATGTGCACATATTTTTGTGTGTGTGTGTGTGTATAGTAATAGTTAATGTTTATTGAACTCTTTTTGGTACAAACCACTATTCTAAGCTTTTTATATATATTAACTCTTTATTCTTACAATAGTCCTGTAAGATAAATATTATTATTTCCATTTCACCAATGAAGAATCTGAGGCTCAGACATAAAATAGCTTGCCCAACAGAGTAGAAGCTAGTGAGTGGTGGAGCTGGAACTGAAGCTAGCAGTCTAGTTCCAGAACTGGTGCTCTTATCCAGGCTACTTACAGCCTCTCGACAGCAGAGCAGGCAGGGAGAGAGCGAGGGAACTGAGAAAGTGGTACAGGCCAATCTCCGACAAAGCCAAACTTCCTCATTTGGGGGCAGCTGTCATCTGCAAGTCTCTAAAAGCTGTTTTGTTTTTTCTTCTAAATACCCAATACTGACATAAGAAAGGACGTTTTAAAACAAGAATGTCATTCACAAGCCCATCCCTAGGACACATTCATTTCTGCATTTTCCCTTCCAGGCTTTGATCATTTGCAGACTTCTTTCTCCCCGCTTTTTTTTTTTTTTTTTTGAGACAGAGTCTCTCTCTGTTGCCCAGGCTAGAGTGCAGTAGCGTGATCTCGGCTCACTGCAACCTCCGCCTCCTGGGTTCAACCAATTCTCCTGCCTCAGCCTCCTGATTACAGGCATGCGCCACCATGCCTGGATAATTTTTTATTTTTAGTAGAGACGGGTTTCACCATGTTGGTCAGACTGGTCTCGAACTCCTGACCTTGTGATCCACCCACCTTGGCCTCCCAAAGTGCTGGGATTACAGGCTTGAGCCACCGCACCGGGTCTCTTTTTTTTTTTTTTTTTTTTTTTTTTTTTGAGACAGTGACTCGCTCTGTCACCCAGGCTGGAGTGCAGTGGTACGATCACAGCTCACTACAGCCTCAATCTCTGGGCTCAAGTCATCCTCCCAACTCAGCCTCCTGAGTAGCTGGGACTACAGGCATGCACCACCATACCCGGTAACTTTTTTTTAGTTTTTAGTTTTAGAGACAAGGTCTCACTATGTTGCCCAGGCTGATCTCAAACTCCTCAGCTCAAGCAATCCTCCCACCTTGGCCTCCCAAAGTGCTGGGATGACAGGCATGAGCAACCATGTCCAGCCCAGATTTCTCTTCAGCAAAGTTGCTAACAGAATAGGCACCAGTTTGGAATAAGTTATGAATTTTCCACATAGCTCTAGGTGCTTTGTGACTGGCAATTGCAGATGACCCCAGCTAGTTGAGCCATCACAGCCTAAAACAATGTTTCTATTGTCTCCAAAATGTGGATAATACAAATAATGCCACACAGGAGACCTTCACACACACCTTTAAATTATTTTGTACACTTGTCTTAGAATATATTCCAGCTGTGGCCAGGTGTGATGGCTCACACCTGTAATCCTACCTAGCACCTCGGGAGGCCAAGATGGGAGAATCACTTGAGCCCAAGAGTTTGAGATCAGCCTGGGCAACACAGGGAGACCTATCTCTATAAAAAAATAGAAAAATTAGCCAGGTATGGTGTTGCATGCCTATGGTCCCAGCTACTCAGGAGGCTGAGGTGGGAGGATTACTTGAGCCCAGGGAGGTGGAGGCTGCAGTGAGCTGTGATCGTACCACTGCACTCCAGCCTGGGTGACAGAGCGAGTCACTGTCTCAAAAAAAAAAAAAAAAAAAAAAAAGGAATAAACTGCAGTTGCTATTCGGCCTTGATTTACAGCTTTCCCAAAGATTATGTGGACTCATAACATTGTGAATGTACTTAATGCCATTGAATTACACATTTAAATGGTAAATTTTATGTAATATATATTTTACCACTGTAAGAAGAAAAAGATTATGTGGATTTATATAGATGGGTGGTAAACTCATCTACACATTTGAGTAGATACATTGAACCCTAAAACACAAAAGCAGGGCTGCAGCATCTAGAGATGGGGCCCAGGAGCTCAGTGGGTAAAAAGAACTCAAAGCTAGAAACTGACAGCATTCCAAATGAGTCAAGCTATTCACCAACCTTTTCGGAATTCGGGCACATAATGGTACGTCTTCTCTCCCAGATGGATCAAGAAGTTGGAAAGATTCCCACTAATTGCTATGGCAAAGACCAACGTGGCACATATCCAAAAGGGGCCTGCAAAGGAAACCAGAAAATTCAGAAACAAGAAAATGAAGCATAAGCCTTTAGATTCTTACAGAATTTCTTATCTTCCTCTTGTATTCATGTTAGCAAAAGAAAATGAATTTTCTAGATGGGATCAACACTTGCTGAAGGGAAATTTTTTTTTCAAAGGTCAAACACACATCTCAGTAATTAGCTGCCTTAAAGAAGGTGGGGTGTTGGTACTCCAATCCAAAGGCCAAAACGCCTTCCACAATTAGGTGAATGAAGACACTGATTTCTGTATAGCTTCTTTTGTTGGAGGATCACCACCGACAAAGAAAAATTCACAGGCTTTTTATTAAACCTTCCACCAGAATACATGAAGTAAAGATTACTTCGCTTATCTAAGTGCCAAATGTTAGCATCACAGAGAAAGAAGTTAAATCAGACAGAGCTTGTGCAGCATACAGAAAGAGCAGGGCAAACAGAACACATGAGGGCAGAGTCGATTAAACCTACCAGTTCACCACGGTTGTGTTGAGTGTCAGTGTGTGTGTGTGTGTGTGTGTGTGCTTAAGGCTTTTTCTTTTTTTTTTTAATGAAAAAGTAATACAATGCACTATATACACCTACTGTCTACCCACAAAAATTAAAATTAAAAATTAAAAAAAGTAATATATGTATATGGTCCAGTGTTTCAAAAGGTACAAAGGGAATATGGAGAACAGCAAGATCCACTCCCTCTCTGTGCCCCGGCTCTCTATCTTTCCTCCCTAAAGCTCACCAAAGTAAGCAGTTTCTGATGAAACCTGCTAGGAATATTCCACTCATGTATATAAGCAAATGCATGTGTATATGTGCATATTTTATACAGATGATAACATACATATATGTCCTCCTGTGTACCCTTCTATTTTCACCTTAATATAGCCTGGTGAGTCTATCACAGCTACTCATAAAAATCAGCTTGTTCTTTTTCAATGGTTTTAAGATATACCACTGAGCAGATGAGTGGACCATGCTTTACAAACCTCTTTCATTATTTGCATGATTTCGTGAACACTATCCTTGTCTCTCCCCATCTAGAAAAAGTACTATGTAGAACAAATACTATCTTTAGATTGAGAGATTTTAATAAATTGTATGAATTTCATTTTTCAATTTCACTAATATTTTGCAACACCCTTTGGGATAATTTCAGGTACCTTGACACGTCACAAAATTACGAACATTACTGTCATAGGTGAGATGACTAGCAGAAACAGATTAGTACTTTTCAAAGGCAAGCACTGGCCCCTGAAGGTGGGAAAAGGAACACAAGCAATCAAATGGGTATGCTTCAAAAAGTCACCAATATTAGCTCTCCACAAACTGCCTCTTTACTCACTAGACTGAAAGCTTTCTGCTGTAGACAAGGACTAAATCTCACAGTATTATTCTGAGTGACCACACATAAGAGTGGCAAAAAAAACCAACAACAAACAAAAAACCCCACAAAGCCCCTATAGCCAAAAAGCTTTACTGAATGAATAAATCTGACCATGTGTTATAGATGAGCTGAGACCATCCAAGGGTATGACCACAAGTGGCCAAAATATTAACTTACAATACCCAAATAACTAGAAAACCAAGAATATTATGTCCTCTCAGTCATTATTTACTAAGTACCCACTACCCTCTGCTGGGGACACGATGATGGGCAACAGAGACACAGTCACTGCCTCTAGTGCACCCATGCACTCCGGGGAGACGATCAATAAAATATCTAATCTCAGAAGGTAGTACAGGGTGCCTATGGGAGCATATAGGGAAGGTGGAAAACCTAGAGAAAGGGATGTGTAAGCTGGGATCTAAAGAAGAACAGGAGTTCACCAAGTGAGGACAGAAGAGAAGAGAGGTCCGTGAAGAGGGAATAGCAGGAGCAGAGACTGAAGTAAGAGGTACCAGTTCGAGGCCAAGCTTCAGGTCAGGAGTAGCCAGAGATTGAAGAGATGGGCCAGAGTCAGATCATGAAGGGTCTTAGAAGCCCTGTTGAGTTAGGAATTTATCTTGAGGGCAACAGGAAGCCTGTGAATTGGGCCTGGTGGCTTAAGCCTGTAGTCCCAGCTACTCAGGACACTGAGGTGAGAGGGTCACTTGAGGCTAGGAGTTTGAGGCAGCAGGGAGCTATGATCATGCCTCTGAATAGCTACCGCACTCCAGCCTTGGCAACACAGCAAGACCTCATCTCAAAAAAAAAAAAAGTGGGGGCGGGGGGGAATGCGGTGGCTCACACCTATAATCCCAGCACTTTGGGAGGCTGAGGCAGGCAGATCACTTGAGCTCAGGAGTTCAAGACCAGCCTGGGCAACATGATGAAACCCTTTCACTAAAATATTAATTAACTTTTTTAAAGGCAGGCTGGTATGGGAAGATATGTATACTAATGTGAAGACTTATCTAGCATTCTCTAGCTGCCCCATGCTCTAAGCTACCTAACAACTCTGGCACGGGAACAGCTGGAGAAACAATATTTTCAGGTGGCCTGAAAGGTCCAACACCTGCCCACCCACTACCTCTATGTGGCCCAATGCTCATCCTTGGACACAAGCAAGATAACTTTCCCAGCCCTTAGCATTTTTGTCCCTCTCCTATTATCATCCCTCTCCCCCGTTTGCAACCCTTCACTGAACCTCCACTGCTTAAGGACAAAATCCTAATTCCTGAGGCTGATATAAAAGGCCCCAGGATCTGGGCTCTGTAACTTCTCCAGCTACCCCCAGTGGAAGGCTGGACTCCAGAGACTTACGACACCCACTCATCCCAGGACCTGCCATGTTGCTTCATACTGCCTTCTCCGTTTCCTGCCAAATTCCTACTCTTATTATGGGTTGGGGGTGGGAGAGAGCCTTAATTTAGGTTGTATTTATAATTAAAATTTCATATTATGCATTTTTATATTATGAAATATTTCTAACATACAGAAAAGCACGAAGAATAACACAAACACTGGTTACCTAGCATGTCACTTTTAAAAAATATTTTTAGGCCGGGCATGGTGGTTCACACCTATAATCCCAGCACTTTGGGAGGCTGAGGCAGGCAGACCATTTGAGGTTAGGAGTTTGAGACCAGCCTGGCCAACATGGTAAAACTCCGTCTCTACTAAAAATACAAAAATTAGCTGGCGTGGTGGCACATGCCTGTAGTCCCAGCTACTCGGGAAGGCTGAGGCAGGAGAATCACTTGAACCCAGGACTCAGGGGTTGCAGTGAGCCGAGATTGCGCCTTTGCACTCCAGCCTGGGTGACAGAGTGAGACTCTGTCTCAAAAAATATATATATATTTTTAATGGTATCATTCTATTCATATCCTTCCACAACATGCTTTTTAAAATCATTGTGCTAAGATTTATCTATATTTATGCTTTTAGCTCTCATTCATTTTTTTAACTACAGAATTCCATGTATAAATATAGTAGCACAATGTATCCATTCTCCTGCTGATGGATATCTTGGTTGTTTCTAAATATTTGCTATTACAAGCAATACTGCTACAGTGGATAATATTCTTCTATATGTTGTTCCATATATATGTGAATTCCTCTAAAATTATCTACCTAGGAGTGAAACTGCTGAATTATAGGGTATAAGCATCTTCAAACTGCTCCAATTTGTGTACCAGTTACATACCCACCAGTTACATACCTACCATACAAAAGTTTCCACTGCTCCATATCCTTGGCCACACTTAATATCAATGTTCATGAAATCTGACTTAGAGTATGTCACTCCTGGCTTGGGGCAGTGGCTCATGCCTGTAAGGTCAGCACTTTGGGAGGGTAAGGCAGGAGGATTGCTTGAGGCCAGGAGTTTGAGGCCAGCCTGGACAACATAGTGAGACCCTGTCTCTACAAAAAATACAAACATTATCCAGGCATGGTGGCACATGCCTGTAGTCCCAGATACTCATGAAGATGAGGTGGGGGAGGATGGCTTGAGCCCAGGATTTTGAGGCTGCAGTGAGCCATTATCGAGCCACTGCACTCCAGCCTGGGCAACAGAGCAAGACCCAGTCTCAAAAAACAAAAAAGTATGTTACTCGTCTGTCCAAACTCTCCAATGGCTTTGCATTCAAGCAAATGCCAAAGTCCTCACTGTGACTTATGAGACCTTACCTGTCCCTCCACACTGTCTCTCTCACCTCATCTCCTTCTAGGTCCCCCTGTTCACTCTCATCCAGTCGCAATAGCCTCTTGAGGTTCTTTGAATGTACTAGGCTAGCTCTTGCCTCAGGGCCTTTGCACTTGCTGATCCTTCTGTTTCAAGTGCTCTTCCCTTAGATATCTACATAAATCACTCCCAATTACTTCAGGTCATTACTCAAAATTCACCTTTTTAAATTTTCAAATTCACCCATTTATACAAACACTTCATGTCCTTCTTCTCTCTGCTATTAAATTTTCACCTAAGCATTCATTACTAGAAAACTATATATTTTACTTTTCTTTGCTTATTGTTAAGCTCAGTAAATTAAAAATTGCCTAAGGGTAGAGATTTTTATGTTTTCACTGCTGTATCTCCAGTACAATAGCAAGAGCTCAATGTTTGTTGAATGAATTGAATGAATAAATGAAGACAAGCCAAACTGTGTATGTTTACTAAAATAATGAGCATAAATAATCTTATTTTACTTTTTATTTCTCTGGTTGCAGGTGGGGCTAAGCATCTTTTCATATATTTATTGGCAATTTTTTCCCCAGAGTTGCTTGGTTTATTCTTCTAATTTGTGGGAGTTCGACATATATTCTTGTTTCTCACTGTTTGTTGGTTATATGCATTGGAAGTATGTCCCCTGGTCTGTGGTTTATTTTTTTACTTTACTTATGGTTTATTTTGTTGTGTAGAAATTTTAAATTTTAGGTGAAATGTAGTCAAAGTTATCAATCTTTTCCTTACACTCTGTAAATTGTCATCTTTTTCTTAACTGCCTTCCTCTAACCTCCACCCACAACAAAACCTAATCCTCTCTGCTATCAAACACTTCACCTATATTGTACCTTCTTCTTTTAACCACGTCTATGAGCTAATGAGGCTACTAGTGTCACAGAAAAGAAGCAAGCCTTGGATTCAAGCCCTGGCTTTGTCATGAGAGGCAGTATAGCATAGTGATGAAGAAATGGATTATGAGCTACAGTGTTGATTTGAAAATTGAGCCCAGCACTTACTAGCTGTATAATCTCAGGCAAGTTACTGGACCTCTGTGTGACTCAGTGTCCTCATCTATAAAATGGGGATAATAATAGTATCTCCCTCATGAAGTTGGATCTGGCATAAGGATTAAATGAGTTAATACAGGTACTGCCCTAATAATAGTGTCTGGCACATAATAAGCATTATATGTGTGTTTGCCATTATTATTGCTAACTCTGTAACTACGGGCAAGTTATCTCCTTAATCTCAGTTTTCTCTTTTGTAAGATAAGGCTACCTTGGAGTATGGGAAATAAAATAGCATAAAATACTAAAATAGTGCTTATCTCCACGCTTGGCACTTATAAGGTATTCAACAGATGTTAGTGTTCTCTCTTCTTCCTCATTGGGGCTAGGGACCATGGCCTTATCTTTAAATCCTCAGCCTCTAGCACAGAGTCTAGCATAAAATAAGGTGCTAAAAATTGTTTGAGCACCTGCTGTGTGCCAAGGCCTCTGCCAGGCACTAAAGACACTGAGGCACAGAGCCTGCCCCTCAGGATGTTCTCAGGCTACAAGTAAGAATGAATGAGACAGAGAAACCACCCTGACAACCCTCAGATGAAAAGCATGGGCCAGTGCAATGGTTTTCACACCAGGCTCCCTAGAGTCCATATTTAAAATCAACATATATGACTGCTTTACTATTTATCATTTCTGATTGAGCATATATATCAATGATCCTCACTGAGCATCAGCTTCCTCATTTGAAAAGTGGGGATACTTTGCAAGGGTTGTTGCAAGAATGAGATATGATCAAGTACACACACAGTCTTTGGTACAGCACCTGGCACACGGACAGCACTCTCTTCTCCCCTCAAACACAGGCCACTGTTGGGGCCTTTTCCTCAGGAGTACTGGGTGGACCTCTGAGTTTTTCTCAGACAGCATTAAGGTCAGGGATGACAACAATCCCCGGCCCAATCCTGTTTTAGACTTCCACTGCTGGTGACCAAATCCTAAAAGGAGCCAGCTCATCTGAGGGCAGAGCTGGAACTCAGCATATCAATGAAAAAGTGTGAGAATACCTTCTCCTCCAACATCAAATGGTCCAATCTCCACCTAGTCAAAGTGACTAAATTTGTCTCAAGTTGTAAAGTTATTTGAAGAATTTTTAAAAATCATTCTTTTTATTTTTATTTTTTAGTAGAGATAGGGTCTCCTTATGTTGCCCAGGCTGGTCTCAAACTCCTTGGGCTCAAGCAATCCTCCTGCCTTGGCCTCCCAAAGTGTTGGGATTACAGGCGGCAGCCACTGTGCCAACCCAGCCTTTAGTAGAGACAGGGTCTTGCTATGTTGCCCAGACTGGTCTCAAACTCCTAGCCTCTGGCAATCCTCCCATCTTAGCCTTCCAAAGTGCTGGGATTATAGGCATGAGCCACTGCGCTCAGCCCCATTTAAAGACCTTTGAAGGATATACTAGTACTTGTAATGATGACGTGGCACTAATATAACACATAATTGTATTCCTCCAAAATTACTTGCAAGGGTTGCTACTGAAGTTCAGAAAAGTCTAATAATACATGGCATGCCCCACCAATAGTGCAGTTCTCCACATTTCCAGGCAACCCTCACACTCACCCAAGTTCAACTGAAATACGGTAAACAAATCAGTACTAAACATACCATAGAGATCTGGATTGCTGCGGATATATAACCTCACAAAGTTTTTCCCGGGTATTGGCAAAAGAGATCCTTTAATTCTGTCAAAGACCTGGAAAACATCATAGCAGTAATTCTACTGAAGTTTTTTAAGTTTAATAAATTCAACTACTACAAAATTGAAACTCAGTCATTAGAGCTTTTATGATAGTATTTTCAAATGCTAATAACCCTTTACTTTTGTAAGACCATTTTCAGTATATAAAGGCTTTCACATTATTTGGTTGTTCAACCATTAAAGAAACAAGTCTCCTTTACCCGTAAAAGGAAAGGTGAAATTGGTTTCCAAACCTGGTAGGTGTCCACATCAAAGAATGTTTGGTAGTATTCAAATGTCCAGAAGGGGGAGCTTTTCTTCTGTCCAGCAAGTAACTGTCAGAAATAAAATAAAACATAATGAACACATAAGCAATTTCTTAATTCCAGCTGCGTGGGGTGCAGGAGGGATCTGATCTAATGGAAAAGCAAAACGTTTGAAACAATAGGCTCTTCCACATTCAATAACCAACTCTGAAATAGCCAATTCGCAACTCTCAGCCTGATTAGAAAAACAAGCATTGGTTTTGAAGTCACACCAAAAGGGTTCAAATCCTGGCCCCTCCACTGAGGGGAGCTTTGGCAAATCACTAGACTCCTGCTGGGCTTAGTTCCCTTATCTAGATTCAACAGTATATAGAATTATGTACAATAATAAATACATATACACACATACAACACATACAGAAGGCAGTCAGTGTAAATATCTTTTCGCTTTTTTTTTTTGAGATGGCGTCTCACTCTCTTTCCCAAGCTGGAGTGCAGTAGTGCAATCATAGCTCACTGCAGCCTTGAACTCCTGGGCTCAAACAATCTTCCCACCTCAGCTTCCCAAGCAGCTGGGACTACACGCGTACACCACTATGCCCAGCTAATTGTTTAATTTTTGTAGAGACAGAGTCTCATTATTTTGCCCAGGCTGGTCTCAAACTCTTGGGCTCAAGTGATACTCCCGCCTCAGCCTCCCAAAGCACGGGGATTACAAGCGTGAGCCACTGCATCCAGCAGTGTAAATATCTCTTCCTCCCCCATCCATCCACAATCCTCCCTACTATTGCCACCTGAATTCTCAAAAATCTGATATATTGACTCACTCTAAAGTACTAAAAATATTACTACTCTGACAAAAAAAAAAATCCTATTGAGAAGAGGCACCTGAGGAGGGCCATACCCATCCCAACAACACAGCTCTTTGGTGGCAGAATGCATGCCCAATGCCAGGAATTGTGCCTGTCATCTTCAGATATCCGAAGGGAATTCATACAGCAAAAAGTACGGTGAACACTGAGCTGCTTTGCAGGACAAGGGCAGGTGCTATAGGCAGATATTTTTTGTTCATTATAAAGGAAAACGGATGGCCGATTAGAAGTAGCTGTGGTCTGCAGCACTCACAGAGAGGAGTGAAAGCGGTGAATGAATTCAGCACCTTCAACTGAAATACCCAGGTTCTTGCATTGGGACTGACTAGGCAAGTAGCTCGACCCACGGAGAATGAAGAAAAGCAGGGTGGGGCGATGGCTCACCCAGGAGCAGCACGGAGACAAAGGAACACCCATCCCCAACCAAGGAAAGCATTCCCCTTGAAAACCAGCACAAGACATGGATGCCCTCTCTTATCACTCCTATTCAATAGTATTAGAAGTTCTGGCCAGGGCAATCAGGGAAGAGAAACAAATAAAGGGTATTCAAATAGGAAGAGGGTATTCAAATAGGAAGAGAGTAAGTCAAATCACCTTTGTTTGCAAGATGACATGTTTCTATATCTAAAAAACCCCATCATCTCAGCCCAAAAGCTTCTTAAGCTGGTAAGCAACTTCAGCAAAGTCTCAGGATACAAAATCAATGTGCAAAAATTGTTAGTATTCCTATACACCGACAACAGGCAAGCAGAGGGCCAAATTATGAATGAACTCTCGTTCTTTTGTATGAATGAACTGCTACAAAAAGAATAAAATACCTAGGAACAAGGGAAGTAAAGGACCTCTTCAAAGAAAACTATAAACTACTGCTCAAAGAAATAAGAGAGGACACAAACAAATGGAAAAACATTCCATGCTCATAGTTAGGAAGAATCAGTATTGTGCAAATGGCATACTGCCCAAAGTAATTTATAGATTCAATGCCACTCCCAGTAAACTACCATTGACATTCTTCACGGAATTAGAAAAAAACTATTTTAAAATTCATATGGAATCAAAAGAGAGCCCAAATAGTCAAGACAATCCTAAGCAAAAAGAACAAAGCTGGAGGCATCATGCTACCTGACTTCAAACTAAACTACAAGTCTACAGTAACCAAAACAGCATGGTACTGGTACAAGAACAGACACATAGACCAATGAAACAGAACAGAGAACTCAGAAATAAGAATGCACGTCTACAACCATCTGATCTTCGAAAAACCTGACAAAAACAAGCAATGGGGAAAGGATTCCCTATTCAATAAATAGTGCTGGGAGAACTGGCTAGCCATATGCAGAAAACTGAAACTGGACCCCTTCCTTATACCATAAGCAAAAATTAACTCAAGGTGGATTAAAGACTTAAATGTAAAACACAAAACTAAAAAAACCCTAGAAGAGAATCTAGGGAATACCAGCTGGGCGCGGTGGCTCATGCCTGTAATCCCAGCACTTTGGGAGGCCAAGATGGGTGGATCATGAGGTAAGGAGTTCGAGACCAGCCTGGCCAATATGGTGAAACCCCGTCTCTACTAAAAATACAAAAATTAGTTGGGCATGGTGGCACGTGCCTGTAGTCCCAGCTGCTTGGGAGGCTGAGGCAGGAGAATCGCTTGAACCCAGGAGGCGGAGGTTGCAATGAGCCTCCAGCCTAGGCGACAAAGCAAGACTCCATCTCAAAAAAAAAAAAAAAAAGAAAAAGAAAGAAAATCTAGGGAATACCAATCAGGACATAGGCATGGGCAAAGATTTCATGATGAAAACACCAAAAGCAATTGCAACAAAAGCAAAAATTGACAAATGGGATCTAATTAAACTAAAGAGCTTCTGCACAGCAAAAGAAACTATCTTCAGAGTGAACAGACAACCTACAGAATGAGAGAAAATTTTTGCAATCTATCCATCTAACAAAGGTCTAATATCCAGAGTCTACAAAGTACTTAAGCAAATTTACAAGGAAAAAACAACTCCATTAAAAAGTGGGCAAGGGACATGAACAGACACTTCTCAAAAGACATACATGTGGCCAAAAAACATATGAAAGAAAGCTCAATATCTTGATTTGAGAAATGCAAATCAAAACCACAATGAGACACCATATCATGCCAGTCAGAATGGTGATTATTAAAAAGTCAAGAAACAACAGATGCTAGTGAAGTTGCGGAGAAAAAGGAATGCTTTTACACTGTTGGTGGGAGTGTAAATTAGTTCAACCATTGTGGAAGACAGTGTGGCGATTCCTCAAAGACCTAGAGGCAGAAATACTATTTGACCCAGCAATCCCATTACTGGGTATATACCCAGAGAAATATAAATCATTCTATTATAAAGATACATGCACATTTATGTTCACTGCAGCACTATTCACAATAGCAAAGATACGGAATCAACCTAAATGCCCATCAATGATAGACTGGATAAAGAAAATATGGTATATATACAACCATGGAATACTACGCAGCCAGAAAAAGGAATGAGATCATGTCCTTTGCAGGGACATGGATGGAGTTGGAAGCCATTATCCTTAGCAAACTAACACAGGAACAGAAAACCAAACACCACATCTTCTCACTTATAAGTGGGAGCTGAATGGTGAGAACACATGGACACATGGGAGGGGGAGCATCAGGAAGAAGAGCTAATGGATGCTGGGCTTAATACCTAGGTGATGGGGTGATCTGTGCAGCAAACCACTGTGGCACATGTTTACCTATGTAACAAACCTGTACCTCCTGCACATGACCCCTGAAGTTAAAATAAAAGTCGAAGAAAAAACATTAAAGAAAAACATTTTCACAATTAAAGTCGACAGTGGCAGCAACTGCCTTACATGGTGGTAAACAGCCCATTCCTGGAGGTACTCAAGCAAGTGTTTTCAATCTTTCCTTTTTTTTTTTTTCTTTCTTCTGGAGACAGGGTCTCACTCTGTTGCCGAGGCTGGAGTGTAGTGGTGCAATCTCAGCTCACTGCAACCTCTACTCCCCAAGCTCAAGCAATCCTCCCACCTTAGTTTCCCGAGTAGCTGGGGCTACAGGTGTCCACCACCATACTCGGCTAATATTTTGTACTTTTTGTAGAGGTGGAGTTTCACCATGTTGCCCAGGCTGGTCTCGAACTCCTGGGCTCAAGTGATCTGCCCGCCTCAGCCTCCCAAAATGCTGGGATTATATGCGTGAGCCACCACGCCTGGCTCCAAGTGTTATCTTTCCTACATAGCAAGGACAGCATCAATATCTCAGGAGAGAGGCTAAAACAGAGGGCCATGAAGGTTCTTTCCTACTCTAATATTAGAAAATATTGAGCATGGGAGTCCCACATTCCATAAGCTAGGATCTCTGCTCACTACCCCAGTGTTCCCCTCCACAAGTGTACTTACGGAAAGTAATGGTCTGTTTGCCTGTTTCCCCCACCAAGGAAGAGGCCATGTGTCATTTACCTCTGAGCTGTCATTGCCTGACACTGTACCTGGCACACAGTAGACAGTGAATAAGCACATAAACAAGCTTTAAAAATTGTTTAAAAAATATCTCAAAGACAAGTTCAAACCTCAGTTTTGTCAGAGTCATCATTTCCCAGTAACTCATCATCTTCTTCTCTTCCTGAGCCTCTTGGGGATCCTGGCTGATGTTTTGGGGTTTCACCAGGATCCTCAATGTTTACTGTGGTGGCATCTGGGTTTGCTGTCAGAGAAGTGGCTGCATTGCCAAATTCTGAAATCAATTAGAGCACACGGGCCTCAGAAACCTTACCCACACTAGAAATGCTATACTTTGAATTTAAAGACAAGCTGTCACAACCTCAGCTTTGCTATAGACCCTACCTGATACAAAGGGCAAAAGCTTTGAAAAACAAAAAATCTCATCAGGAGATCAATCTGATATAGAAAAATGACTATGAAGACAACAGAATTTGGAGTCAGACCTAGATTTTGGTTCTGGCTCAGCTAGCCACTTACTAAATACACAAGCCTGAGTAAGTAACTAAACCCCTCTAAACCTCAGTGTTTTCATCTGTATCATGGGGAGAATAACATTTATTTTAAATAATTTTGGGAGAACAAGGAATATAATCTAAGTCCTAAACTTTACTTCTTTGATTCAAGTCCAAAAAATTTTAATGAAGGTTATTTTTTCCAGTAAGTCTACATAATCACTACAGAAAATATGGGAACAAAAATGAAAGTGGGATCAGCTGCGCACAGTGACTCACGCCTGTAATCCCAGCACTTTGGGAGGCCAAGGCAGGCGGATCACCTGAGGTCAGGAGTTCGACCAGCCTGGCCAACATGGTGAAATGCTGTCTCTACTAAAAATACAAAAATTAGCCGGGTGTAGTGGCACATGCCTTGTAATCCCAGTTATGCTGGAGGCTGAGACAGGAGAATCACTTGAACCCAGGAGGCAAAGGTTGCAGTGAGCCGAGATCACACCACTGCACTCCAGCCTGTGTGACAGAGTGAGACTATGTCTCAAAAAAAAAGGAAAAAAGAAAGTAGAAATCACAGGATAAAAACCACTCTTAGGCCAGGCATGGTGGCTCATGTCTATAATTCCAGCACTTTGGGAGGCCAAGGCAAGAGGACTGCTCGAGCCTCAGAGGTAGAGGCTGCAGTGAGCCGTGATCATACCACTGTACTCCAGCCTGGGCAAGAGAGTAAGACTTTGTCTCAAAAAAAAAAAAAAAAACCCAAAAAACAAAAAAACACTCTTAGTTCTACCACATAAAGGCAAACACTATTAACATTTTAGTATATTTCCTTTTCTTCACATAGTGAGATTCATGCCACTGATGATCATTCATTTATTCAACAAATATTTACTGCATGCCCACAATGTGCCAAGTACTGATCTAGAACATGATACTATAATTAATTTTGCATCCTGCTTTGTCAAGATTATGTAAAATTGGGGATTATACACAAAAATGATTTTTCATATAACAGTCTCTTAAAATGATCACTTATGTGACTGCATAATATTCCATCAATGAAGGTTTTCTTACAAATACAAAAGGAGTGTCTGTGTAGAAAAAGCTTTTTGGGGGGCAGCCTTAAGATGAACACCTATCAGTGTGATCACTAGGTCAACAGGGTGCAAACCATTTTCAAGGATCCTGAACCATGTTACCAAACTGCTTTCCAAAAGAACCTTACCTACTTGTGTCCACCAGCAGTGATTGAGACTTCCTGTCTCCGAATATCCTAACATACTTTATTTCAGCTGCTCTTGAATAAAATTCAGGGCAGCTCTGAACCTTCGAAGGCCAAAGGAAGAGTGCCAGCAGGGCACCATTATAACACTACAAGCAGGGCACCAGTCCTAGCAGTAGGACAGCTGAGTTCACTCTTATTGCCTCTCAACTATATGAGCAGTTTTATGGAGAACACTAAAGTGACTGAAATTAATCAGGTAGCTAATATGCAACAATTACTGAAGCCTCAATTGGCAATGTTTGGGTAGTTTAAGCAACATGAGGTTCTGGAGTGAGATGGTCCTTTGTTCAAGGTAAGACTCTTAATACTCAGTAGCTCCATGACCTTGAGCAAATTACTCCATGGCTCTGAGTCTCTGTTTCTTCAATTATAAAACATAGATAATACCTACCCCACAAAGAGATTTTGAGGATGATGAAATAATAACTATCATTACAGGTACCTCTTATTGATTGTACAGGGCAATGACATTTAAAAAGATAGTCACAACTTTGCTGGAGGGAATTAGACCAAGGAAGATATACTTAACTCTCACAGTTAAAAAGCAGTAGTTAAAATAACTAGAAAAGTATAACTGAAGCTGGGCGTGGTGGCACACACAAACTGGTGGTCCCAGCTACTTGGGACGCTGAGGCAGGAGAATCGCTTGAACCCAGGAGGCAGAGGTTGCAGTGAGCCGAGATCGCACCACTGCACTCCAGCCTGGCAACAGAGTGAGACTCTGTCTCACAAAAAAAGAAAGAAAAGTAAAGTATAACTGGGCTGGATGCAGTGGCTCACGCCTGTAATCCCAGCACTTTGGGAGGCTGAGGCGAGCAGATCACTTGAGGTCAGGAGTTCGAGACCAGGCTGGCCAACATGGTAAAAACCCATCTCTACTAAAAACATAAAAATTAGCTAGGCATGTTGGTGGACACGTGTAATCCCAGCTACTCAGGAGGGTGAGGCACAAGAATCGCTTGAAATGGGAGGTGAAGGATGCAATGATCTGAGATCATGTCACTGCACTCCAGCCTGGGTGACAGAGCGAGACTCGGTCTCAAAAAAAAAAAAAAAAAAAGAGAGAAAAAGAGTATAATTGGATTGTTTGTAATACAAAGGATAAATGCTTGAAGTGATGGACACCCTGTTTACCCTGATGCAATTACTACACATTACATGCCTGTATCAAAATATATGAGTGTACCCTGTAAGTATATATACCTACTACATACCCATGAAAATTAAAAAATTTTTAAAAAGCAGTAGTTTACCAGGGGGAAGGAATGCCAGAAGGAGGAACAGACAGTACCACTTTAGAAGCACAAAGGTCAAAAAGGCCCCAAGGAGGGCGATAACTCCTCTAGTTATTGGGATCAGGAAAGGTTTCTTGGAGAAGATACCATATGAGAAGGATGGCCAGAGGTGCTGGGGATGGCATCTCATGCAAAGGGAAGGGGATGAGCAAGACCCAGAAGATGGAAAGTGTGCCCGTGATGGAGGGACAGTGACGGCATAGTTTGACTGGAGTGTGGGCTGCGTGTACCCCTAACATGACGACTCTTCACACAGTCTGCTCTGTGCTGGTTATTCTTGTCCATCTCAGCTCCTTGAGCATAAAACTGGTATGTGTCTTATTTCTGCCACCAACATTCTCTGCTTTTACATCCTGGCATATCCTAAGCTAGTTTCAGCCTCTGCTCCTTTCCTGAAACAATGCCTTTCACCTGAAGGCTTCTGACCTCTACTTTTTCATCCAATACTACCGTTCCTCCCCGGAGAAGCCTTTCATGACCCACCCCCCGCCACCCCACCCCCAGCATCCTGTGTGCTTTTCTAAAGACCCAAGTCCTTAACACAGTTGATAAAGCCCTGGGTGATTTGTCACCTGCCTCCTCCTAAGCCTCACCTTGTGTCAGCTTTCCCCACCATCCGTGATCTGGAACACAAGTGTTCTCCCAATCCTTTAGGAAAAAAATTAAACTTCCTCACTCCACAGGGGCTTTTGCGAGGGCCACTGTCTTTAAACTTTCTTGCACTGCACTCCTAGATAGGATGGCTGAGGAGGGTCTCTCTAATGAGGAGAGATTTGAACAGAGCAAAGAAGCAAGCCATAAGGCTATCTGAAGGGAGAATGTCCCACACAGAAAGATGGCACAAACATCCCAAGCTGTGAATGTACTTGGTGCATAGGAAGAACCGTGACAGCCCATGCAGCTTGGGCAGAGACAGAAAGGACGAGAGCAGCAGATGAAATCAGAGGGTTGGAGGCTGCATCATATAGGGGCCTCCTAAGCCACAGTAAGGGCTCTGGCTTTTTCGTTTTTGTGTTTGTTTGTTTATGTTTGAGATGGAGTCTCGCTCTGTCGCCCAGGCTGGAGCACAGTGGTGCGATCTCGGTTCACTGCAACCTCTGGGTTTGAGCAATTCTCCTGCCTCAGCCTCCAGAGTAGCTGGGATTACAGGCGTGCACCACCATGCCCAGCTAATTTTTGTATTTTTAGTGGAGACAGGGTTTCACCATGTTGGCCAGACTGGTCTCGAACTCCTGACCTCAGGTGATCTGCCCTCCTCGGCCTCCCAAAGTGCTGGGATTACAGGTGTGAGCCACTGCGCCCAGCCTGGCTTTTTCTTCTAGTGAGATGGGAGCTACTGGAAGGTTCTGAAAGAATGACATGATCTGCTTGAGTTTTAGAAGGACTACTCTGGCTGCAAAGTACAGACTGTAGAGGGATAAGGGAGGAAGCAGAAAGACCAGAAGGAAGGTAAAGGCTATAATTCAGAAAAAAGGTGACAGTGACCTTGAGCATGGTGAGAGTAGTGGTGGAGGTGGTCAGATGCTAGATGAATTTTGAAGACGAGGTTGACAGTATTTGCAAATTGAGGTGGATTTCTAGTACTTGCAAATGAAATAGATTTATCTTTAAACAGTGTATCTCTTCCTTAGATAACAGAGACAGCATAAGCTGTGATACCAGACTGGATGGGTTCAAATCCTGATTTTATCCCTTACTAACTGCGTGACCATTAGGCAAATTATTTTTCTGTGCCTCAGTCTCCTCATTAATAAAACAGGGGAATAAAGTAACTATTTCATAAAGTTGACATAAGGATTATCTGTACAGGATTTAGAACAGTGCCTGACATATAGTAAATGTTAGGTAAGGTGTTAATAAAACAAGTAAGTGGGCCAGGCCTGGTGGTTCATGCCTGTAATCCCAGCACTTTGGAAGGCCAAGATGGGTGGATCACAAGGTCAGAAGTTCGAGACCAGCCTGGCCAATATGGTGAAGCCCCGTCTCTACTAAAAATACAAAAATTAGTCGGGTGTGGTGACGGGCACCTGTAGTTCCAGCTACTCAGAAGGCTGAGGCAGGAGAATCGTCTGAACCCGGGAGGCAGAGGTTGCAGCAAGCCAAGATCGAGCCAAGGCACTCCAGCCTGGGCAACAGAGTGAGACTCCATCAAAAGAAACAAACAAACAAACAAACAAGTGTTCATCAATCCCTAGCCTAAGTCAGGCTCTGGGTTATGAGTCCTAATATCTCCTTGAACTTTTCCTCCAGCACTTTCATAGTTTGTAGGTATATATTTAAATGATCATTTAATAAATACATGTCCCCCTCACTAGACTGAGAGCTTCACAAGGAAACTATTTTGTTCACTCTTCTATCCCTGATAACTAGAACAATTGCCCGGTTCCTGGTCACAACCAGGAGATATTTACTGATTCAATGAGGGAATGATCTGATCACATTTCATCCTAATGATCTTTTTACATTTTTATCTACTCCACCAGTGGATAAACTTCTTCATCTTTTTGTCTCCAGTATCTTGTACGGTTCTAAGCACAAAGTAAGTGCTCAATAAATGTTTTCTGAACTAAAGCAGGAACTGTGTAAGCATTTTCTGTAATCACTGTACTAAATTTATGATACTCGTTACCAATCTGAAGGGTTATCTGGCAAAAAAAACAAAAACAAAAACAGCTGGTGTGGACAAACAGGAAACACCTGGATGTGGCCAACAGCCACCAAGATGTTTGAAATAATATCCTTCAATGTGTGAGGCAGTATAGGAATGAAAATACTTGCTGTGACTGTAGCAACAGTGATCATAAATATAAAGGTGGGCACCCAACTGGTATACCTTCAAATTGCAAGTCATCTACTGCTGCCATTCGGCCAGTGAGTCTTCTCCCAATTATGAGGAAGAAAATTTGCAGGGTTCTAAAAGAAAAAAATAGGTAAACATAATAGGATGACAGTATAAAGTATCTGCAAACAACTCTTATGTATTAGAAATGGTATCACTTTCCCTTGCCTCCCTTTTCAGTGGGGTTTAATAGGTTTATATAAAGATAACCACTAAGCATCAGGTATTATTAAATATTAAAACTGTAACAAAGAAACTAACCCCGGGGATCCAAAGGTTCCAATTCAACCTTATTTGGTTGTGTATGTACCAGGAATGAATCTCAACTCACTGTGTGAATGTTTAGAGAGCAGGTGCAGCCTAGAGATGTAACGATGAGGAAGGAGAGGCTGAGGTTTGAAAGAGGTGATGGGGACAGTGAAGAACAAAGGCAGTTCAGCCTAGCCAGTGGTTAAAGGCACAGGCTCTGGGGTCAGACAGAGCTGGGTTTGATTCCCGATTCTGCTGCTTCTCTGCTGTATGCGCGCTCCTCGCGGCCTCAGTTTCCTCATCTGTAAAATGGGTGCATAACGATACCTAGTCACACAGTGCGGGGGTCATTAAATGGGAGTGCGTGTAAGGAGCCTAGAGCGGAGTCAGGCAATTAGTAGGCAATGGGGTGTCGGCGACCCTGCAGCCCGGGACACCGCGAAGCAGAGGCAGTGTTTCAGGGAGAGGAGCTGGGCCGCGGCGGCCCGGGCGGGCAGGAGATCCTGAACCCCCTTAGCCTCGTACAGGTCCCGCAAACTCGGCAGCCTCACCTCGCGGGGTTAGGCGTCCCCCGGGTCCCGAGAAGGCTCGGGCCTCAGTTGCTCCGCGCCGGTTTCGGTCCAGCCCAGTTGCCGGAAGCCGGAGATCCGGGGGGCGGAACCTCTCCGCCTCCTCCGGGAAGAGCCCCGCCTCCTTAAAGAGACAGCAGCTCCCAGAGAAACCTGCGTGCTGCGGCGCGCAGAGCCCGCTCCCGCCCGCCCTTCTCCCGAGGCTGAGCCTCGAGTTCTTAAAGAGACAGGCGAGGGCGGAGTGGTGGGGTCGCTGAGTGTGACTACTTGGGCTGGCCTTGCTCCAGGGAACGTAGAAAATTCTCGAGTTTAGGGTTTTCTTACTGTGTGTTTATACCTCTTTTCCTAAGGAAATATAAAATCGGGTGATGAAAGACGATTGTGAAAGAAAAAATTAAGTCACCCGCGTCACCAGTCCCTCAGTTTCTTTTGGCCACAAAAATTTCACTGGTGAGAAAGTACATGATGAGTCAATTACATTCTGAATGAGTGATCGAAAGCGCGATGTCTGTTCGTATGAGCACCCCCAGTAAGTGAGCGCTTGGAAAGACTTTACATCTAATAATAGCCATATATAGTGTATTTTTTTCCCCAAGATGATCATGATCAGGCTTTGTACATGCAGGATCTCTAATTCTCAGAACAATCCTGCTATCTTGGGGTGATTATCCTCATTTTACAAAGAGAAAGCTGAGGCTTAGAGCATGTGCAGGGCACTTTTGGTTGAGTATGTACCAGGAATGAATCTCAGTTCATGAATTCAGCTGTGCTAGTATATCAGCCACCTCTTATGTCCCATTTCAGATCATCTTGGCCTCACCTGCTGCTTATTTCACCGCCACTCATCTTATTCCAGCGTCAGCAGATATAACCTGAGTGAGCTTGCCTCCAGTCTATGCCTCAGGCTTCTCACTTTCTGCTTCGAGGCTTGTTTCTTCATGCGATGGGGCCATGGGACCTTGCTGGAGCCAATCAGCACCCAGACAGGTGCATCCCAGAAGTGTAGGGGTAGAGAGTTGTTAATGTCTCATGAGGCAAATCTCTGACCAATGGGGTCAACACTTGATGAATATATGCTTTTCCTGTTTTTCCCCCTCAGGCGCCCTTTCATATAGCTTTCAAACTACCTAGCAGGATTAAGCAACCAAATGCCTTTGGAAGTGACGCATTTGACAATGCATCTTCGCAATGGGTCTCCTTCCTTCCCTGATATACAAGCCCTGTACTTCACTCCTGGTGCTTGGATTCATACTTGCCAATAAACTACTCATATGAGGAAGCAATATGAAGGCATGTTGGTACCAAAAGTGGCCCCAGAAAATAAAACCTTAGGTTGGCATTTTCTAACTGAACTGCGCACCAGTCACATGGCAACAACAAATATATTGCTGGTGTTAAGGGGAGAGAGAAGGAGGGGGGTGGTGGTGGTGTGATAACACTTAGAATAGAATGGCATCACAATTACTAAGGTGTCTGTCTGCAGTTGATTGGGATAACGTGCAGGTAGAAGATAAGGTGCTGAGTTATCTAGTGGCTGTGGCACAGGAACATTAAGAGGACAATGGTAATTATAAGGACTATGGAATGGACTGGGTGTTCTTAACTCCATTGGAAACCTTGAAAATAAAATGACAGACTTAGAACAGCCAACTGTCAACTTGAGGCACTTTGTGAAAGCTAGAGAGCCTCTATGGCAGCTTTGAAGATTCTTATTCTTCTATAGCCTTGAGAAAGACTGGACTGAAAATCAGGCCCAAGATCTAATTGTAAGGGTGGCAAAGTTTCAACGAAGACTGAATGCACAGCCTCTGTAGGTCTCCTCCATCAAAGCTGGGGCATTGTCAGAAAATGAATGGGAACCTGAGAACTGGGATGAGGATATTTGGGTAGGAAAGCCTGAGACTTGACCATCCCTCGTTTCCAGTTTCCCTTGAATCTTTCAAGGGAAAGGTGGCTGTGGCAGAAGTAGTCCTTTCCCCCTTGTTAAAGGAAAGCAAAGTCCTCTTGCTTACGGATCCTGCAATGATTACCTGCACAACATTGCTTTGGACTAAGGGACCAATTTAATTGTAAAGAACATGCAACAGTGACACATAACCATGGGTCTTACCCACTGGTCTTACCATGTGACTCAGTCATCCAATAGTAGGTGGCCTAATAGGATGGTGGAATGGCTTGTTAAAGGCACAGTTAGGGCTCCAGGTTGGGGAAAATACTCAGGAGACTGGGGCATTGTCCTCCGGCATGTAGTACATGTACTAAACCAATGGTTTATCAATTATTTATAATGGTACTTTGTTCTAAATACCTATAGATTTGCAAACCAAGGGGTAGCACTTCTTACTATCACTTTCAGTGAAACCTACACACATAGAATGTGTGCCTCCTGCGTCACAAGTTTAAGTTCTGCTTGGTTGGAGATCCTGGTCCCAGGGAAGCAGGGAAGGCGGAGAGAGAACACTTCCATTCCAGTTACAGTTCCACTGAATTGGAAGCTGTAACTACCACTTAGGCATTTTTGGCTTCTCATACCACTGCACCAGCAGGTAAAGAAAAGAGTGCCGGCTGGGCGCGGTGTCTCACGCCTGTAATCCCAGCACTTTCGGAGGCCAAGGTGGGCGGATCACCTGAGGTCAGGAATTCGAGACCAACCTGGCCAACATGGCGAAACCCATCTCTACTGAAAACACAAAAATTAGCTGGGCATGGTGGCACACGCCTGTAATCCCAGCTACTTGGGAGGCTGAGGCAGGAGAATTGCTTGAACCTGGGAGGCGGAGGTTGCAGTGAGCCGAGATTGTGCCACTACACTCCAGCCTGGACAACAGAGCGAGGCTCTGTCTCAAAAATAAATAAATAAAGAGTGACACATGGTGGGGAAAATCAGCCCTGATTACTTTAAGAAGTTGGGGGCTGGGCATGGTGGCTCATTCCCATAATCCCAGCATTTTGAGAGATCAAGGAAGGAGGATTGTTTGAGGTCAAGAGTTCAAGACCAGCCTGGGCAACATAAGGAGAAGCTATAACAGTCACAAAATTTGCCGGGTTTGGGTGGCACTCCTGTAGTCCTAACTACTCTGGCTGAGGTGAGAGGATGGCTTGAGCCAGGAGTTTGAGGCTGCAGTGAGCTATGATCACACCACTGCCCTCCAGCCTGGTGACAGAGGAAGGAAACCCCGTCTCAATTATTTAAAAAAAAAAAGGTCTTGGGTGTATTTTAAAACACTTCCCAACTCTGAGCTCTATGATTCTTCTTTCAGTTTCTCCAATGAGCCATGCTGTCTCTGGCTTCTGGGCCTTTGGCCATGTGGTTCCTTCCACCAGGACACTATCCCCACTTTAGCCAGCTGACTGCTTGCCGTCTTTCTGGTTTCAGCATAGAAATCACTTCCTCAGTGAAGTCCTCTTGACTTCTCTAACCAGAATTAGCTTCCCCTTCTCCCTGCTCTCGTAGCCCACGCACACCCTCCGCCTCTGGACTTCATTTAGGAAATGGTAGTTTTTTGTTTACTTGTCTATTCCCCGCACTAGACCATGACTTCCTTGAGAGAAGAGGGTGTTTTATTTGTCACTCTATGCCCAGTGCTAAGGGGAGTTGCAGGCCCCAGGTTTTGTTAGAAATGGTCCCATTTCTGTCTCTGCCCTGGGAGGTTTGAGATCCATATCCCCTGGGGAGGGCTCTGACTACAGAAATAGTCAACCACCAGCTAGAAGCCATGATTGGGGGCCGGGTGCGGTGGCTCGAGCCTGTAATCCCAGCACTTTTGGAGGCCAAGGCGGGTAGGTCATCTGAGGTCAGGAGTTCAAGACCAGCCTGACCAACACGGTGAAACCCTGTCTCTACTAAAAATACAAAAATTAGCCAGGCGTGGTGGCAGGCGCCTGTAATCCCAGCTACTCAGGAGGTTGAGGCAGGATAACTGCTTGAACCTGGGAGGCAGAGGTTGCAGTGAGCCAAGATCGTGCCACTGCACTCCAGCCTGGGCGACAGAGCGAGACTCCATCTCCAGCAACAACAACAAAAAACCATGGATGTTTGTTGGGAAAACAAAGATCTTTGTTGGGAAAAACATCTTTCATTAGTAAAAGAAGAGTTTGTGTATAAAGAATAACTAATAGCCAAATCTACTGACTTGTGAGAGAGCATCTAACAGGTTCTCTTTAAGTGTGGTCTTTTTAAGTACTTGTTTTTTAAAAAATTAATCAGAGGGAGAATTTAAGATGTGGAATCTACCAATCCAAGAATCTCTCAAAAGCTCAGGCAAAGAATTGGAAATGATAATGATTAAAACAGACCTTTGTGCACCTGGTTAGGAATTTTCTATCTCATGACAGAAAGGCAAACATCTTCTGACCTGACTCCTTCCCCTGACCCGGGGTTGGCTGCTCCTACCCTGCACCTTCATTCAGCTCCGCCCAGTGTTGCCTGGCTGCAGCCTCTCTGCCCATAGAACTCAGAGCTTACTCTGGCTTTGCCGAGATGGGGCTGCCCCAGCCAGGGCTGTGGCTGAAGAGGCTCTGGGTGCTCTTGGAGGTGGCTGTGCATGTGGTCGTGGGTAAAGTGCTTCTGATATTGTTTCCAGACAGAGTCAAGCGGAACATCCTGGCCATGGGCGAGAAGACGGGTATGACCAGGAACCCCCATTTCAGCCACGACAACTGGATACCAACCTTTTTCAGCACCCAGTATTTCTGGTTCGTCTTGAAGGTCCGTTGGCAGCGACTAGAGGACACGACTGAGCTAGGGGGTCTGGCCCCAAACTGCCCGGTGGTCCGCCTCTCAGGACAGAGGTGCAACATTTGGGAGTTTATGCAAGGTCAGGAGGCTGCCACACACTTGAGGGGTGCTTGAAATAGCAGTGGTAGAGGGGGATGAAGAGATGGGTTGGAAAGTCCTGAATTCTCCTACTACTTTTGCTGCTCCTTTTGGACCTTCTTGTCCTCTTCCTGCTTCCTGAAACTAGAACTTCTTGTGGATTGTTTCTCTAAGTAACATCACCACCTTCCCAGGCACTCAAATCACAAACCATCCAGTCTGGCATTTCAGCCCCTGGAACACTGCTCTTACTGTACAGGCTGATCTGCCTGGGCTGCTCTTTGCCCACCTCTCTGCCTGGTTAACTCTTGTTCAATCTTCAGACTGTTGCTCAATGACGCTTCTTTCGAGAAGCCAAGCCCAACTCTCCCATACTAGGCTACCCTCTCTCATCTGCCTGCTTAACATCCTAAACTTTTCTTTATTACACCTGTCGCGGTTTGTAATTATGTACGGCTGGCTAGGATTCATGTCTGCTTCCCTCACTAGTCTGCAAACTCAATGCAGGTCGAGACCATTGCTCTCACCCACTATTACACCCATGCCTGATGGTGGCACATGGTAGCTGCTCAGTAAATACTTGTTAAAGAGCTCTCGGCTGGGCGTGATGGTTCACGCCTGTAATCCCGGCACTTTGGGAGATTGAGGCTGGCAGATCATGAGGTCAGGAGTTCGAGACCATCCTGGCCAACATGATGAAACCCCGTCTCTACTAAAAATACAAAAATTAGCCAGGCGTGGTGGTGTGCACCTGTAATCCCAGCTACTCGGGAGGCTGAGGCAGAAGAATCTCTTGAACCCCGGTGGCGGAGATTGCAGTGAGTCAAGATTGTGCCACTGCATTCCAGCCTGGGCAACAGAGTGAGACGCTGTCACAAATTTAAAAAAGTCTCAGTTTTCTCTCTCTAACTCCATCCACTCCCCAGTCCAGGAAAACCAGTTTCGTCGACTTGAGTTCTTGACCGTTCCAGTTTTCTCTTTTTTGTCCTCCCAGCTTCTCTTCCTGCCAGAACTTCCTTCTCCCCGACTTGCCCACTCAGCCAGCCCAGCTTGTGAATGGCTGCCAGATTGCTCTTCTCTGAGTACATACCAGCTCAACCACTTTCAGCAGCTCCCCTCTGCATTTAGGATGAAGCCCAGGCTCAGCCTTGGATTCCAGGTCCTCCCTGGTCAGGCTCTAGCTTTTCTTCTCAATTCTACCTCTGAGCTCCCCGCCACACTCATTTCTTTCGGACAAACTGTTGGGCCTTGTACATCTCTTGTACTTTCCCTTGTCTTTGCCTTTGCTGACATCGGCTGGTCAAGAATGCCCTTCCCCTCTCCATCGTCGTCTATATCCCCCTCATTCATGTGGGTCCAGCTCTCCTGACACCTTGTCCTCCATGAAGCCACCTCAGCTTCCTACAGCTAGGCATGTGCTCTCTCCCTTCGGCTCATGGCTCTCTGTCTGCACCTCTCCTTGGACACTGCTGCTTCCTGCTCAGCACCTGGTACCTAAGCACAAGTCTTATTTCCCTGCCCAGTGGAGAGCCTCAGGAGAGGGTGTGTGTCTGATTTATCTCTGGATTCCTCAGCATGCTCGGCCCAGGGCCTAGATGCAGCAGGTAGAGAAGGCACCTGAGGCAGTTGGTTTATTCCGTGTTTTTCTTGTTTTTCTTTTTCTCTTTTTTTTTTTTTTTTTTTTTTTTTGAGACAGAGTCTCACTCTACTGCCCACGCTGGAGTGTAGGGGTATGATCACGACTCACTGCATCCTCGATTTACCAGGCTCAAGCCATCCTCCCACCTTAGCCTCCTTAGTACCTGGGACAACAAGTGCACACCACAATGCTCGGCTAATTTTTGCATTTTTTGTAGAGGTGGGGTTTCACCATGTTGCCCAGGCTGGTCTCGAACTCCTGGACTCAAGTGATCCACCCACTTCGGCCTTCCAAAATGCTGGGATTACAGGCATGAGCCACTGTGCCTGGCCTATCCTGTGTTTTTGAAAGAATGTTCTTTAGAACCTAAGTTCCACAGATATGCTTTACTATGTAGTGTTGCCTGGTCAAAGTAGTTGGGAAACCCTGAATACTATATCCCCCTCCTATGCAATTTCATGTGCAATTTCATGTGCACATGAGTGTATGCACATGAGGAGTTTACAGTTCCATAGAACAGATGGAGGTAATAAACAAATCCTTACAGTCCTATGAAATGGGGGAGGCTATAAAAAAATAGAACTTTTGCCTGGAGGACTTGGAAGTTTTCCTGGAGGAGGTGGCTCTGGAACTAGGTCTTGAAGAATGAGTCAGATTTTTGTAGCCTGACAAGGAAAAAGGGAAGAGTGTTTTAGAGGGGAAGGCAGGAGCTTCTTTTGTTTTGCTGTTCATTCATAATTTTAAACCACAGTGCACAAATGACCTCAGTTTATTCAACAAATGTTCACTAATTCCATTGGTAGTAAGAGCAATGGTAATAACTAACTTACCACATGCCCATGTGCCAAGCACTGTAACAGAACCAGGCCAATTTGCTGAATGCCAGTCATCTGCAGTTCAGTTCCCTGAAAGCCAGCTTGCCTCATGGCCAATTCATGGAATGTACTTGCATCATGTAACTGTCCACTTTCAGTGAGGCAGTTTACATTTTAAAGACTGTTGAATTTGGTCTGAGCCCCGTGGCTCACGCCTTTAATTCCAGCACTTTGGGAGGCTGAGGCGGGCAGATCACTTGAGGTCAGAAGTTCAAGACCAGCCTGGCCAACATGATGAAACCTCGTCTCTACTAAAAATACAAAAATCAGCCAGGCATGGTGGCATGCACCTATAATCCCAGCTACTCAGAAGGCTGAGGCATGAGAATCACTTGAACCCAGGAGGCAGAGGTTGCAGTGAGCCGAGATCGCACCACTGCACTCCAGCCTGGGTGACACAGCGAGACTCTGTCTTAAAATAAAATAAAATAAAATATAAAATAAAATAAAAACTGTTCAGTTTGTCTCTGCTCCCTGCTGCTGCAGCTGAGACTGAAAATTGGTAGGAGTGACCAGTTGCAGTGGCCCATGCCTGTAATCCCAGCACTGTGAGCGGCTGAGTGGGAGGATTGCTTGAACCCAGGAGTTCAAGAACAGCCTGTGCAACAGAGTGGAACCCTGTCTCTACAAAATATTTAAAAATTAGTGGGATGAGGTGGTGTGAGCCTGTAGTCCCAGCTACTCAGGAGGCTGAGTTGGGGGGGTCACTTAAGCCCAGGAGGTCGAGGCTTCAGTGAGCCATGTTCATGCTAGTGCACTCCAGCCTAGGTAACAGAGTTAAGACCTTGTCTCAAAAATAAATAAGTAAATAAAATTAAAAATTTTTAATGGTAAGAGGAGGGGACTGAAGCAAAAGAAAAATCTATTTGCAAAATAGAGTTTACTTTCAGCACATTAACCCAAAGTCCCCTGAAATCATAGGTACTAACAATACGGAAATAAACACCATGGGCCTCTGCCCTGGAAGGCCTCATAACTCAGAGTGAGAGATGGTGTCGTGACAGGGAAGCAGAGGGCACTGGGGGCAGGAACCCTGTTAAGAGTAGGGTAAGGAGGTGGCCAAGGGAAAGCTTCCTGGAGGAGAGGATGGTGTGCTGATTGTCTAGGGACAGTGAAACCTTGGGGTGGGTGAGGAAGAGGGGAATGGAAAGCAGGGCAGGGCACAGAGGAGGAGCAGCAGAGGTCTGAGATGTGGAGAAGCAACATTCAGTTTGGCACAAGTGGGGTCCCAGAGGCAGGAAGGGGTGAAGGATGAGGCTGAAGGCATCATCAGGAACCAGAGCTTACGGGGCCTTGTGTGTCGTAGCTGCAGGTTGACTTTATCCTGAGAGTACTGGTGAGTTCTGGAAGGGTTTCCAAGAGAGAAGTAAACATGATCAGTTCTGCTTATTAGAAAGACATTGGCCGAGCATGGTGGCTCACACCTGTAATCCCAGCACTTTGGGAGGCCGAGGCCAGCGGGTCACTTGATGTCAGGAGTTCGAGACCAGCCTGGCCAACCTGATGAAATCCTGTCTCTACTAAAAATACAAAAATTAGCCGGGCATCGTGGCATGCGCCTGTAATCCCAGCTCCTTGGGAGGCTGAGGCAGGAGAATTGCTTGAACCCGGGAGGTGGAGTTTGTAGTGAGCTGAGATTGCGCCACTGCACTCCAGCCTGGGCAACAAAGCGAGACTCTGTCTCAAAAAAAAAAAAAAAAAAAGAGACATGTTGTAACTACTTTGGAAACCCACCAGGCCACCAAAAAGCTCTGTTGTATGCTTTGGGTATAAACTCTGAACTCAGAGCCAGAGACAGAGAGACGTGAAGAATCTTTACTGATAATCTAAAGCAACCGCTTCGTTTTTGAGATGCAAAAGTCCAGAGAGGTGAATGACTCGCTTAGAGTCACACAGTGAGTTCTTAGAAGAGCCAGAACTAGACTTCTGACTCTCAGCTCGTGCACTTGCTGCTACTGGATACGACAGCAGGAGCTCAGGGAAACTCTCAGCCACCTCCAGCCCTCTGTGCGTCCACACACGCACACACACACAATATACACACACTCTTGGACACACACAGAACAAAACATCGAGTAACTGGCATGGTGTGGCAGAAGGCAAGTTCTGGATGATTTACTTTCTGGATACCTGAGAGTTAATCTGAAATTGGCTTCATTTCAGCCCCTGTTTAAAATCTTCTAACGTCTTTCCAGCTGTACTTACAAGTGTTGTCCAATAACTATAAATAGGATTTCTCTGCTGACAGATCCTGACATGGGGGTTAATTTACTGGTCTGGGCTGTTTTCCCATTTATACAAAGGAGTTGGACTTGATAGTCTTCACTGGATTCTCGAAATGGTGTTCTCTGCACTGTGGTCTGTGGACATGGGCAGGGTGCCAGCCCCCATGCACCCATCCTTTACCTCTCTGCTGCTGAGGAAAGCAGAGAGCTTAGTTTAAACTTTGCCCTCAATACTGACCACTGTACCCAACCACACTATAAATAATTAAACAAATGGCTCTGTCTCTTCCAGGGTCTGAATCAGTGGATGTTGAGTTTTTTTCCCAATTAAAAACAAAATTTCATACAGCTGATACTTAGAGTTGATCATGACCATAAGTCTTTTGGGTTCTTTATTTTTTATTTTTATTGAGATGGGGTCTCATGCTGTTGCCCAGGCTGGAGTGCAATGGCACGATCGTAGCTCACAGCAGCCTCATTCCTGGGCTCAAGCAGTCTTGCTGCCTCAGCCTCCCAAGTAGCTGGGACTAGACATGTGTCACCACGCCTGGATAATTTTTTTTTAAGAGACAGGGTCCTGCTATGTTGCCCAGGCTTTTTGGGTTCCTACCTAAAGAGTGACAGAGTGACTCTCTGGGGTCATTGGAGGCCAGTGACCAGCCACTTGGCCACAATTGACCTCTGAGCTGCCCTCCTGAAGCCTGGGCCTCCTTGTCACATGGGTGAGAAATCATAGTGCAGTCAACCAGCAGAGACTGAGGCCACTCAATGCCTCCTCAGGCCTTTTAAGAAAAAGTCTGACCCAAGGACAAGGAGAGGGGCTTCGTATGTCCAGTGAAACTAGTCTGCTTTCCTCTCATATGCTAAAAATTGAGAATATAAGCCAATTTTGTTTCTTCTTTTACTTGGCCACCAGGAAGCTCAGAGTCAAAATATAGCTCAGTTATAACAAATGCATGGGACCTATGGCCTGTGTGTATTCCGTTTTCCCCTCCTGTTCTACACCTCCCAGAGGGGCATGATTAAAAAAAATTCTGGCCAGGCGCAGTGGCTCACGCCTGTAATCCCAGCACTTTGGGAGGCCAAGGCCGGTGAATCGCTTGAGGTCAGGAGTTCAAGACCATCCTGGCCAACATGGAGAAACCCTGTCTCTACTAAAAATACAAAAATTAGCCAGGCATGGTGGTGCACGCTTGTAATCCCAGCTACTTAGGAGGCTGAGGCAGGAGAATTCCTTGAACTTGGGAGGCGGAGGTTGCAGTGAGCTGAGATCACGTTTTTGCACTACAGCCTGGGTGACAGAGGAAAACTCCATCTCAAAAATAAAAAATAAAAAAATTCCATTTAATGTGTTAGTATAGGTGTAAGGAGCTTTAAATTCTTTGCAGAACACAGAGGGGGTATAGTTAACCAAATAAACCACATGTAAGTTAAGATGCCCTCTACTCCCCATCTATCTGCAAACCCTGTCAATTCTGCCTTCTCCCCAGCTCCACTGCCCCACACTAGCTAGCCCAGGCGCCCATTTTCTCTCTTTTTCTCTTATAGAGACAGGGTCTCATTCTGTGGCCCAGGCTGAAGGGCAATGGCACAATCACAGCTGACTACAGCCTCAACCTCTTAGGCTTAATGGACGCTCCAGCCTCAGCCTCTTGAGTAGCTGGGACTACAGGCACACCCTACCAGGGCCAGCTAACTTTTTTTTTTTTTTTTTTTTTTTTTTTTTCAGAGATAAGGTCTCACTGTGTTGCCCAGGGTGGTCTTGAACTCATGGGCTCAAGCGATCCTCCTGCCTCAGCCTCCCAAAATGCTGGGATTACAGGTGTGAGCTACTGCATCCAGACCCATTGTCTTTCATGTAGACTTCTCCAGTGCCCCCTAACTGCTTATCCCTCACTTTCATTTTCACTCTTAGTCCTTTCTCCACAGAGCAGCCAGAGTGATCTTCAAGTGTAAATCTGGTTATTACATGGCCCTACTGTAGCAGTCAGGTTCTGGCTTGTAAGCAACAGAAGCTCCCTCTGGTTTTCTTGGTCACACACACATATGTACATAAAGGAACATACTGGAAAGGTGTTGAGTGCTTTCCAGAAACAATATCAGCTGGTCTTGATTGGACTGTCTTTTAGCATCAATAGTTGGGCCTGGATCCTGCTGTCATTGTGGTTGCCATGGGAACCCATCACCATCCCTTACAGGAGCACCACAACTGGGCTGTGGATGAATTCTGCCGTCTCAATGACTCCCAGAATCAAAGATCTATGTGGAAGGGTATAATTAGCCCAGCTGGGGTCACTGCCTGAGCCCTGGCTGCCAGGGGCAGAGTGCGAACCTGGCCCTTCTGTCTTCCAAAGAGCAAGGCTGGGCACACTGTTTCATAAATAGAATACAAAATAGGGAATTCTAAGTAGGAAGGAGAGTTAGGAGTTGGGCAGCCAAAACTGCAACAAACAAGTCAGATATAGTCAAGTGCACCTATAGTTCCAGCTACTCAGAAGGCTGAGGCAGGAGGATCACTTGAGCCCAGAAGTTCAAGGCTGTAGTGTATTATGATGGCACCTGTGAATAGCCACTGCATTCCAGTCTGGGCAACATAACAAGATCTCATCTCTCAAAAAAAAAAAAAAATGAAAAAGAAAATATGCAATAATATTCACCACCCTTGCTTTATATTCCTATGATAGCCCACATACCTAGGATAAAATCCAGATTCTTTACAAAGGCTTATGGGAGCCTGCCTGCTCTGGTCCATCCCTAACACTCCAACCCTTCTCTTGTTGCTCTCTATGCCGGGTTCCTGCCAGTGGTTTTGTGGGGCCTTGAACACACCAAGTTCTCTCCCTCCTTGGGGACTCTGTGTGAGTCTCTTTGGCTAGAATCCCTTTCTCCCTTTTCCCATGGCTGGTTCTCTCCTGTTTTTCATTTCTCAGGTTAAATGGCAGCTCCTCAAAGGCCTTCCCTGCCCCGCCTGTCTAAAATAGGTAACTCCTTTATAGCCTCTCTCGTAACACTGATCACAATTTGAAACTTCTTCATTTACGCATTTACTTACTTTTTTTTGCCTGTCTCCCCACTAAGCAGACTTCAAACTGCACACAGCCAGAGAGCTGCTGGTCTCATTCTCTGCCGAATCCCCAGTGTGTGGCAGGGAGACTTGCATATTTTAAGTGCTGAATAAATATTTGTAGATAGGATGAGAGTATACTACATTCTGGAGATTCGAGGATGAATGAGGAACAGGCCCTGCCCTCAGGGGACAATGAGTAGGGGGGTTTGGGGGTATGTGGACACTTAAACAGGCCATGTCACAGTGCAAGACTAGCCATGCTCCAATAAATGTATGGTAAGGGCTCAACAATGTCAGCTCTGGCCGTAAGAAACCACAGGAGGCCAGCTGCTCCCCAGAGTTGTCCTTGGTCTAGGATGGGGAGTTACAGAAGGCTTCCACCCAGGGCTGGCTTCATGGACATGGGACCAGTGAATCACACAGGGACCTACACTCAAAAGGGCCTTGTCCTTGGGATTTAATGTTCTGCAGCAGCTGTCTTGAATTTTTGTTGCTGTTGTTGTTTTTAGCACACCAGAGTTGTAAAGTATGTCTTGAAATTCTTCATAATTTTATCTTTGAATCTGCATTTTGTAAGTGAAACCCTACGGGACAATGGAGCATGCCCTGAGGACTTGGAGCCTCTGCTTGCACAGGCTCCTGCCTTCCACAGCCTCCCTGCCCCTCCAGGACATGTTCTCTAAGGCCCACTCTCCCATCCCCAGGTGCTCCTTCCTGCTTCCACCCAGTGACTGCTGCCATCTCCTGACCCCAGAGTGGGCCTGGATACAGACATGAGGAAGGTGGGGGTCAGGTGTCACGTCCCCCAGTGTTGCATGGCAGCTGTCCCCATCCCGGGCTCGCAGTGCCATAGTGCAATTCGCCAAGTGACTGAGGGTGGGGGAAGCCTCTTGCCCACCCTTTCCCCCATCAAGGTACCTAGTATGTTCCTTACAGAGGTTGCAATACCCTGTGGGTTGGGGTGGTGGGCAGGTGGGAAGGGGCCATGTCTGGCTCAACTTCTGTGATGCTGGGCGGGGCATGGCATGTTGGTCTGGTGGCTGGAGGGAAAGGGAAATGCACACACACTCGGTCTCTGGGGTGCTGGGTAGCTGTGAGGATCTGCTCTCACTCTATGAATACCCCAGGGGAGTATGACATCAAATAGCAACTAAAAGACACGATGCCAGGTCAAGAGAGGGACTACAGAAGATTAGAAATGTCTTTGTATTTCAGGCTGGGCACGGTGGCTCAGGCCTGTAATCGCAGCACTTTGGGAGGCCGAGGCCGGCGGATCACTTGAGGTCAGGAGTCTGAGACCAGCCTGGCCAACATAGTGAAACCCCGTCTCTACTAAAAATACAAAAATTAGCCAGGTGTGGTGGTGTGCACCTGGAGTCCCAGCTACTCAGGAGGCTGAGGCAGGAGAATCGCTTGAACCCCGGAGGCGGAGTTTGCAGTGAGCTGAGATCACACCACTGCACTCCAGCCTGGGTGAGACTCCATCTCAAAAAAATAAAAAAGAAACGTCTTTATATTTTAATAAATTTAATGGCACTTTCCCCCACTTTTTGAACAAGGAACCCTGCATTTTCATTTGGCGGCAGGCCCAGCAAATTATGCAGCTGGTCCTGCTCCTAGCATTCACTCTCTTTGTGGAGCTGCCTTCGGTGCCTCCCTACTTCATAGCTCAGGGAGGAGATACAAGCTCATAGCAACAGCTTATATTTATGAAGCACCTACTATGGGCCAGTAACCAGTTTAAGCCCTTATCTCTATTAATTTATTTAATCCTCCTAACAGTGCTACAAAGGATTATTATGCCCCCCTTGTGGATGAGGAAACTGAAGTGCTATGAATAGAAAGAGCACTGAATTGAGAGTTCAGAAACCAGAATGTTCATTTTAACTCCTCACTGACCTGCTGTGTGACCTGGAGCAAATGTGTAAAACTCAGTTTCTTTGTCTATAAAATGGGGGGAAAAAATGACCAACCTTGCAGTATTACTAATCCCATCGCATGACAGAATGGATGCATACCTGCCTTATAAACTGCATGAAAGGGACTCCTCTTATATTTAAACTGCTATGCGGCAACTGCAGGTGGTCCACTGAGACCACCTAAAAAAACCTCTCATTTTAGAGAGGAGTAAACCAGCTCCAGCCCCTGCTAAGTCATGCTCTCTAGGTGTCGGACCCCAGTGCCTAGGACCCATCCTGGGGTGGGGGGTAGGGGGAAATAAAAATAACAGAATTGAACATAGGAGTGAAAATGGTGCTTGTAAAAGAAAGCTGTGTGTAGGGTCTCAGTTTGTGATGGTTGTTGCTGTTTCAGGTAATAGGCCACTGGTGCTGAATTTTGGAAGTTGTACCTGACCTTCATTTATGTTCAAATTTGACCAGTTCAAGAGGCTTATTGAAGACTTTAGTTCCATAGCAGATTTTCTTGTCATTTACATTGAAGAAGCACATGCATCAGGTACAGAAAGATTCTCTGCCTCTTCTACCTCTTCCCACTGTCTTTTCTCTCTCCCTTTTCCCCAGGCCCCATCTCAAGGTTGGGAGGTGGAAGGAGGAAGAGGAGGGGAGAGGGAAAGAGCCACTATTCACTGAGCACCCACCACTCCCAGGCCCTGCACTGGGCTAACCTCACAGTCTGTGCTTTCAACCAGGGTACAGAGAGCAGAACACCTGGAGTGACAGGGTCTGGCTAGGAGAGGATTCTAACATTTTGATCGGATAAATAGGGAAGTCAAGGGAGAAGAACTGATTTGAACACATTTACAAAGAATTCAGACCCAAAATGTCACAGGTGAAATGACGGCCTTATGGCTATTTTTTTTTTTTTTTTTTTTTGAGATAGGGTCTTGTTCTGTCGCCTGAGCTGGGGCTGGAATGCAATAGCACTCACATGGCTCACTGCAGCCTCAACCTCCTGGGCTAAATCGATCCTCCTGTCTCAGCCTTCCAAGTAGCTGTACTGCAGGCATACGCCACCATGCCCAGCTAGTTTTTTGTATTTTTTGTAGAAACAGAGTTTCACCATGTTACTCGGGCTGGTCTCAAACTCCTAGGTTCAAACAATCTGCCCACCTCGGCCTCCCAAAGTGCTGGAATTACAGTCGTGAGCCACTGCACCCAGCCTATATTTGTATTTTTGAAAGAACACTGTGGTGAAGAATTAGGAGAAAAAATAGTACTTAAACTCAGTATGAATTAGAATCATCTGGAAGGCTGTTAAAACGCAGATGTCTGGGTCCCATTTCTAGTCCATCCACGCTGACGCCTAGGGTTTGCACTACTTAACAAACTTCCAGGTGACGCTGATGCTGTTAGTCTGGGGACACACACTTAGAGAACTACTGATCTAAACCCTTGCCTCTCCAAGTATGGTCTAGGCGCCAGCAGTCTTGGCATCCTGGGAGTTAGATGGACTCTCAGTTCCACCTTCGACAGACCGAATCAGAATCTTCCTATAACAAGGTCCCCAAATGATTCATGCACATTCAAGATCAAGGAGTGCTGGTTTATTGGACTATTTCACGTTGAAGAGCAGGGGTCTGGCAGACAGAAGCCCTGGGCTTCAGTTCTGGATCAATCACTAATTCCTGACGTGACCTTGCACATTCAACCATAATGGGAAACCAGGCCAAATCATTGCCAAGGGCTCCTCTGAGAACCTCAGTTAAAAGTGAGGGGCTATTTAGTCTGCAGGAAGTGTGTGCTGTGTCAATGGGACTCGGTGCCTGGCCTTTCTCTTGTAGATGGCTGGGCTTTTAAGAACAACATGGACATCAGAAATCACCAGAACCTTCAGGATCGCCTGCAGGCAGCCCATCTACTGCTGGCCAGGAGCCCCCAGTGCCCTGTGGTGGTGGACACCATGCAGAACCAGAGCAGCCAGCTCTACGCAGCACTGCCTGAGAGGCTCTACATAATCCAGGAGGGCAGGATCCTCTACAAGGTGGTGACCTGGGGACAGGGGGCCCAGGGAGGGCAAAGGGGCCCAGGGAGGGCAAGGGCAAAGAGAAGGCTTTGCATCAAGCAGAACTGGATTCAAATCACCACCCAGCCACTTACCAGCCATGTGACCATGGGCGAGTGCTTTCACTTCTTGGAGTTCCTTCAATTTCCTCTTCTGCAAAATGGGAATGTTGGTCTCCACCTCACGGGGGATGAAATAATGCACACGAATGTCCCTAGCATTTGGACTGGAGCTGCATCCTCCCGGCTTCCTTTTGAACCCAGATGATGGCCCAGTCCTGGTCTGGTTTCAAACTCAGAGACAGAGAATGTTGTTTTTGTTCTCTGTTTTTTGGGTTTCTTTCTTTCTTTTTTTTTTTTGAGACAGACTCTCACTCTGTTGCCCAGGCTGGAGTGCAGAGGGGTGACCTTGGCTCACTGCAACCTCCACCTCCCGGGTTCAAGCAATTCTCCTGCCTCAGCCTCCCAAGTAGCTGGGACTACAGGCGCACACCACGCCCAGCTAATTTTTGTATTTTTAGTAGAGACGGGGTTTCACCATGTTAGCCAGGCTGGTCTTGAACTCCTGGCCTCAAGTGATCTGCCCGCCTTGGCCTCCCAAAGTGTTGGGATAACAGGCGTGAGCCACCGTGCCCGGTCTGTTTTTGTTTTATGAACAATGTTCAGAGAGGGGAATTGACTTGTCCAAGGTCACGCTGGGCAAGGCTCTGATTTCAATTCTAAAGCCCTTGATCGGGTGGGCCAGAAATGAGAAGGTCTGAAGCTGCTAACATTTGCGGCAGGCCTGAACCAGGGCTGGCGGGGTAGAAGTCTCAAGGGGAATGGAACCCGTGGTTTGGAGCTGGAAATGCTGGACGCAGGGATGTGCGGCAGAAATGCATTTCAGGCTCCCTTTCTTGTGATTGCTTCCTCTCAAAAGTTCCAGCCTGGTCAGGGTGAGGGAGGTAAGCACAGCCTCTGACTCTTTAGACACAGTTGGCTTGGCCTCCCTTAAGAAGGTAGAAACTACATTTTAAAGCTATTGAAGGGATTTCAAGCCTTGGAGAGCAGATGAAACCAAGTATGTGGATGCTCCTCTGTCCACAGATCAAGATCAAGCTGACCCTACCTATTCAGATAAAACAAGCAAAAACTTGCAGGCAAATTCCCAAGGTGCAAGGGTCACAGTAGAAGAATGTGGGTCCTTCATCCTTTCCTGTACCTTGGGACATGGTTCAGGCATGATTGAGGCACCCTGGGCACTGAATCCCTACCTTGGGTTAGGCCCTGTGCAAATACTGGAAACACAAAAATGAATTGAAAATGACTCATACCTAGCCGGGTGCAGTGGCTTACGCCTGTAATCCCAGCACTTTGGGAGGCCGAGGCAGGCTGATCACTTGAGGTTGGGAGTTGGAGACCAGCCTGACCAACATAGTGAAACCCTGTCTCTACTAAAAATACAAAATTAGCCAGGCGTGGTGGCGCATGCCTGTAATCCCAGCTACTTGAGAGGCTGAAGCAGGAGAATCGCTTGTACCCGGGAGGCAGAGGTTGTGGTGAGCAGAGATCGCACCATTGCACTCCAGCCTGAGCAACAAGAGTGAAACTCTGTCTCGGAAAAAAAAAAAAAAAAAAAAAAATGACCGGCCGGGCGCAGTGGCTCATGCCTGTAATCCCAGCACTTTGGGAGGCTGAGGCAGGCAGATCACGAGGTCATGAATTCGAGACCAGCCTGACCAACATGGTGAAACCCTGTCTCTACTAAAAATACAAAAATTAGCCAGGCATGGTGGCATGTGCCTATAATCCCAGCTACTTGGGAGGCTGGGGCAGGAGAATTGCTTGAACCCGGGAGGCGGAGGTTGCAGTGAGCCGAGATCGCACCACTGCACTCCAGTCTTGGCAACAGAGCGAGACTCCGTCTCAAAAAAAAAAAGAAAAAAAGAAAATGGCCCACACCCTTACTTCAAGGTACTCACAGGCTGAGGGATAAGGAAGACCCAAGTAAGACTATTACAGTGTCCCAACTGCTGGGGGACTCCAGAGCAGGGGTCAGCACGCCTTTTCTGTATAGGGCCTGATAGTAAATATTTTCAACTTTGTGCCAAGTAATCCCTGTCGCAACAATTCAATTCTGCTGTTATAGCACAACAGCAGCTGCAGACGACATGCAAATGAAAGCATGTGAGGCATCAGGACTAACCTGGCTCTCAGACTGTAAGTTTTTCAACCTCTGGGGAAGGGTAGGCTTCTCAGAGGGGGCAGCAATTGCTTGGGCCTTAAAGGATAAGGAGTTGGCCTAGTGAGCACAGTGAGTGAAAATCACTGCGGTATAGGGAAGAGGGTGGGTGGAGGCACTGAGGCATAGTAGGGCAGAGTGTGAATAAACGATTGGAGACATTGGGGTTACACAGGGGTCTCATTCTAGACCAAGGGGTTTGGTCTTCATCTTAGGGCAAAGGAGAGCCACTGACGGGTTTGGAGCAGGAAAGAGACATGATCGGACCTGTACTTAGAACGTTCACTGGCTCACGGCTGTAACTCTAGCACTTTGGGAGGCTGAGCCGGGCAGATCACCTGAGGTCAGGAGTTCAAGACCAGCTTGGCCAACATGGTGAAACCCTGTCTCTACTAAAAGTACAAAAAAATTAGCCAGGCGTGGTGGCGTGTGCCTGTAATCCCAGCTACTTGTGAGGCTGAGGCACGAGAATTGTTTGAACCTGGGAGGCGGAGGTTGCAGTGAGCAAAGATTGTGCCAGTGCACTCCAGCCTGGGCGACAGAGTGAGACTCTCTCAAAAAAAAAAAAGAAAAGAAAAAGAAAGTTCACTGGTTCCATGGCCGGGCGTGGTGGCTCATACCTGTAATCCCGGCACTTTGGGAGGCCAAGGCGGGCAGGTCACTTGAGGCCAGGAGTTCGAGACCAGCCTAGCCCACGTGGCGAAACCCTGTCTCTACTAAAAATACAAAAATTAGCCAGGCGTGGTGGAGTGCACCCGTATTCCCTGCTACTCAGGAGGCTGAGGCAGGAGAATTGCTTGAACCTGGGAGGCAGAGGTTGCAGTGAATCAAGATTGCGCCATTGCACTCCAGCCTGGGCAACAGAGCGAGACTCTGTCTCAAAAAAAAAAGAAAAAAGTTCACTGGTTCCTGGTTGAAAAATGGACAGGAGGGAGCAGGGACTAAGGACTGGGGATAGCTGGGAGGGGTGGCAGCTGCCCAGGCTGTAGGATGAAAAGGGCTGACCTAGGGCAGTAGAACTGGAGAGGCAGAGATGGTTCTGAGGTAGGATGGGTAGAACTTGATGTGAAGGCTGGAGAAGATTAGGCCAGTCTGAAGGTCTGATTATGGAAGAAAAGCTTATTTGTACAGAACCCTTCTCTTTTTGAAAGACTATGTCACTTTATGTCCTCTAGTTTTTCTACTTCTCTGTCCAACCTTCCTGTTAACTGCTGATGCCACTGTACACACTTTCTCAACCACCTCACGGTTGCATCTGCCATTGAATTAGCCATGCTGATGGCTCCTACACAGACATCATTTGACCACCTCTTGCAACTAACCTCCAGACCTACATGTTCCTTACAACTTGGAAATCCTTACAAGTTGGGAATGCCTGATTCGTTTCTCTTGCAGGGTAAATCTGGCCCTTGGAACTACAACCCAGAGGAAGTTCGTGCTGTTCTGGAAAAGCTCCACAGTTAATCTGGACAGATACCTCAATTCTAGGTGACCAACGGGAGGGCTTCTCAAGGCTTAGCTCTCCCTGAGACCCAGCTGGCTTTTACCCTTGACCTGTGTCCCTAGCTGAATCACTAGCTCAGATTTTTCTGATCTAAGCAAACAACTCCCAGCTGAGGAATGCAGGCCACAGCACCCAATCAAGACAAATTGTTATTATCAGAAAATGAAGCAACACTTGAGCTGTTCAGGCCAGTTCCCTGTTGAAGAAACAGTTCCCTGTTGAAGAAAGTAGAGCCTGACACTGCTCCCACTTTGGAGACCACATTCCCTGCACACGGTCTTTGAGAGAGCAGTTGCACTCTACAGGCACACTTCTGAGGTACGGTATCTCTCTCCAGCCACTCTGATACCAAGTAATTCAAGCTGGCATTCCTTCTATTAGGGAAATTCATTTTACCCAATTTGCATTTATGGAATTGATCATTTAAGACACTAAATTAGTTTTTAGAACCAATTATGGGAAGAATTCCAGTTGTTAGGAAGAGATGAGGAGTTGGAAGAGGAGGGATTAGAAACAGGAGGAGGCAGTCATCCTCTCCTTGCCAAAAGATTTAAACCTGTCCACATTGGTGGTGATGATGGGTGAGTTTCCATGGTAACACATCCCTAATTTTACCAGGGAAGAGGAGAGTACTCACTTTACCATCTTTGAATATATTTCATAGAAATCTAGCTCTCTGTACCCTGAAATCTTCCACTAGCCTCACTTTTCAACAGAGTCATCTAGAAGGGAGGGTTGGCTTCCCAAAAGCATAACCTTGACCAAACCAAACAATAGGCACCAGCAATGCTGTCATTCAGTTATGCAGAAGCTCATTTGTGAAATTCTGTTTCTCTGATTTCTTCGCAAGTCTCTTAATGGTCATTTGTGTTAGATTACATCAAACTGATGGATAGCCATTGGTATTCATCTATTTTAACTCTGTGTCTTTACATATTTGTTTATGATGGCCACAGCCTAAAGTACACACGGCTGTGACTTGATTCAAAAGAAAATGTTATAAGATGCAGTAAACTAATAACAGAATTATTAAAATATATCAGGCTATTTTGGATGGCTTCCGTGTGATCTTTACATTTTCTTTTCCAATTTGTATCTGATTACCCAGTGTAATCTGACCAGCAAAAATACCATACGCTGAAAGGGCCTCATTTTGGGGGAAGAACATTCAGGCCCTATGTTACATGTTAAATGTGGTTTTGTCTTATGAACTCCTGCTGGAGTGAAATAATTTTTCACATTGGAATCAAATTACCTTTATAACATGACATAAAAGAATGGATCAGGAGACCTTTTGCTAGCATGAGAACATATTCTCTTTAGCTATACTTTAGTTGCTACAAAGTTAATATTATTAATGTTGTCACTTTATTATTTTAAAAATAGTTATTGCAAGAGGCTGAGGCAGGAGAATCACTTGAACTCAGGAGGCAGAGGTTGCAGTGAGCCAAGATGGTGCCCCTTAATTCCAGCCTGGGTGACAGAGCGAGACTCCGTAAAAAAAGTTATTATTAATCATCTACCAGGCACAGTCACTTTCAGATATGTTATCTCATTTAATCTCTATATATCTCAAAGAGGAGATGATTATCCCCATTTTACAGATGAGGAAATCAAGGCTCAGAGAGTTAAGTAACTTGCATAACTTCTCAGAACTAGTAAGTAACAAGCCGAGATTCAAACCGGATCTCTAACTTCAAGGCCAGAGTCCTAGCTCTGTTCCTGCCAGCTGGGTGACTTTGATCAAGCTGCCTTGGTATCTTGACCTATAAAACAGGGTATCAATAGTGCCTAGTCCATAGATTCATGAGTAGAGCACTCAGAACTGTGCCTGACTTGGAGAAAGTGTCATGAAGTGTTGGCTATTATTACGATTATCATAATTATTGTCCCACAACTGCTTCCTCGGGCCCTTTTTTGGGGGGTTGGAGGTGGAAGGAGGACAAGACAATATGGATGCTGAATAAAAATTCCCCATCCTACCAAAGCCACTCATGACCAACATAGGCATGAGTTTGTGAGGCTATACTGAAAATGAGAAGCTGTGACAATGATGGGACTGAAGCACAGATGAGCACTCACTGTTCCTCCTAAGTACTAAGTTGCACAAAAGGAGACAGGATGTAAGGCAAGCCTCTTCTGAATCACTTCTCTGATGGTCTTCCAATTCGTGTCTACAAATGCACAGAAATCTCCCCATTTTCACTAAATAATAGTAGCTGGAACTGAGGAGCTTTTCAGAATGACAAAAATAGACCCCCGGCTTTCCAATTAGATTCTCTTCAACTTAATGCATCAAACATTGAGCATTGATTCTTTTCTGGGTGCAGAGTTATGCAAAGATGGACGAGGAAGAGCTGTTGTCCTCCAGCAGCTTAATCTCACAGGGGACCAGACATACACTCCAATGACCATAACTCAAGGTGGAGTATATGTTAGAGTGAAGACTAAGTGCTCAGAGGGCACAGAGGAGACAGCAATCCTCTGAGCTGGGTGAATCCAACAATGCTTTTTGGAGCTGGTGGCATTTGAGCTGGTCTTCAAAGATGCCCAGTACTTCCATAATTTGGGATGGGAGCCTGGAGAAGATGGGAAGGGAGAAGGGCATTTCAAGTGAGGAGAACTACAAGGGCAAAGGTGGGAAAAGGGCTATGTGCAGGAGACTGCAAGAGGTTTGGGTTCAATTCCAATCCTTTTGTTTTACAGTTGCTAGCCATAGGCCAGTGTAGTTCAATGGTTCTCAAACTTGGGCATGCAACAAAATCACCTGGAGGGCTTGCTGCAACACAGATTCTTGGTTCTCATCTCCAGAGTTTACGATTCGACAGATCTGAGGTTGAGCTAGGGAATTTGCATTACTAACAAGTTCTCAGGTGAGGCTGATCCTGCTGTCCCAGGAACCACACTTTGAGAACCGCTGCTATAGTAGGTGTTGTTGGTGCTCTGCCCAGATGCCTTTTACCAAGCCATTGTACTCATGAGCCAGCTGCTGTGAGTGTTGGCTGCTAATGGCTCACAGATGCACTCTTTCCTGAGAATTTGCCCTCATGACAGGAGCTATCTTACCCAGAAATACCTGTGAAATTATGTCCTTCACCTGAGTGTGGCCCACAGCCAGTGACTGATGGATTTGAAATTCCAAAGCCTTTTCCCTTGCTGCAAGGTGGGGCAGTCTACTTCTCCGGTGCCAGTCATGCTTCAGAGCTCCCTATGGGATCAGACTGAGGCTAGACTTCAGCAGAAGCCATGTTTAATTTTTCCCTCTGCCTGATCCTGCTTCTCTCACTTCCTTAGAGGTTTCTCCTGAGAGCGCTCCCTCAATAAATCACTCTTCAAAGAATCCTTGTTGGAGGCTCTGCTTCTAGAGAACCTGACCCAGAGCAGTCCCCTTCTGGGTCTTTTCTGATTATGAGTCTTCATTAGTGGGGCTTGTTATCTGCTGAAACATAGTGTGGGATGAGGAGTCAGGTGGCGCAATCTGCAACTTTCATTGACATTCGCTGTCTTGAGTAGCCTATTATTAACTAAATTCCTTCCTTTGAGATGGGGCTCAGGGAAATCCCCTTCAGTTACACTCCCTTTACTTTGGATGCTTTTTCACCTTCTGCTATGGATTGAATTGTGCCCCTCTAACCCCCAAAATGCATATGTTGAAGATTTAACCTCCTTTTATTTGGAGACAGGGCCTATATAGAGGTAATGAAAATCACATGAAGTCATAAGGGTGTGGCCTTGATAAGACAGGAATAGTGTCCCTTAAGAGACACCAGAGTGCACTCTCTGCACACACACACAAAGAGCTCGTGTGAGCACACAGCAAGGTGGCAGCTACCTACAACGCAGGAAGAAAGGGTTCACCAGAAACTATGCCGGCACCCTGATCTCAGACTTCCAGCCTCCAGAGTGGTGAGAAAATAAATGTCTGTTGTTTCAGCTACCCAGTTTATGGTATTTTGTTACAGCAGCTGGAGCTAAGACAACTTCCTTCATCATGCTTTACCTCCAGCAGTCTCCTCTGGTGTATCCTGCCTGATTCTCTCCAGCTCCATCTTCCCTGCCATTCTGTTATTAACCTCGAGGCTCTCTGGAGACATTCTCCATCCTCCTGAGCCACCTGCAGCCCTCTTCAATCTAATCAAGGGACTGTTGGATAAGCCTTTCATAACCATGACACGTTTAATAAAGTCTCTAGCTTTGAGAGAACATATGCCAGTTCTCAGCTTCTTCCTTCACCAAAATCCTCATTTCACAGTACTTAGTGAGTGGGCGTCCCATTTTGATGTTAGGGATTATAGCTGCTTCCTTGAAGATAAAATGTTTTTCTTTTTATAATTCTTTTTGTTGTGAATGTTTTGAGAAAGGGGATGGAGTAAAAATCGCTTTACCCCATCATCTTTAACCAGAAGTATCCATTTTTATATTTATAAACATATATATGTATATATATAAAATTCATATCCCATTATAAAATGATGTTTGTATATATCATACTTTCTAATATATGGCTGCGTAGTAGTTTCCAGTTTTTCTGTCTTATAAACATCATTGCTATAAACTTTGTCCACTTATCTTTGTATATTCCTTTATCTGATTATTAGGCTATATTTCTAGAAATGGAATTTCTGTGTCAAAGACTACATGCATGTTTAAAACTTTGATGTACACTGCCACACACTATCTCCCAGAAGGCTATCAGGGTCAAGTTACAAAGGGTTGCTGGAACATCACCTAGAAGGTGAAGCCCACAAAGGATGCCTCCCCCAGCCTGACCCCTGCAGAGAGGCATTCCTGAGAGAGGGCTCAACAAATGCAATATGCTATAAAAAAAAATCTGTATAAATGAGTGATAAACACAATTTTCATTTCTGTAATATTTCTTTGCCTAGACTTGGTACATGGTAAAAAGGTCATTAAATTTTTACTTTTTTATCCATCGCTTTAAATAAGTATTTACTGGTTTAAACTTTATGCAAGGCGCTGTGATAGGCATTGGTCCACAGTAAGTGATCCAAAAATTCATATATTGTTGACTAGCTTTATTCAAAGCTCCTCAAAGATTCTACAGTATAAAGAGATATAGGCGTGCAAATAAATGAACGATGTTCACTTATTCAGTCAACAGATATTTCTTGAGAATATATGTGCCAGGCACTATTCTAAGCCCTGAGGATACAGTCATGAGCAGAAGCAAAAAAACCCCCTGCCTTGGGGAGCTTACATTCTAGTGAGAGAGATGATAAACATGATATACATGGTAAACAGAAAAAATACGTTAGACAGTTATAAGCAGGGCTGTCCCTATAAGGGTGAGAGAGCCCCGAGTAATTCAATTGGATTAAATCTCCTACTCAAGAGGATCACACCTGAATGCAGGTGGCACTGCCCTCATCTTTCAAAGGATACTTGGGCCATCATTAATATCATTAAAAGAAAAAAATTTAAGTGGAATTTTAATGATAGAAATGAAGAGTCAGGTATAAGAACTCCTAAATACAGAACACAGGGTGACTGCGTCAGGTCCCTAACCTAAGAAAAGAAGAAAAATAAAACAGGGAAGAAAGATTTAATGTGTTTGTCTTGCGAGGGTAAGGTGCAGGAACACTCTAATTTTAATAGGGAGGCCAGAGAAAGGCTTATTGAGAAGGAAATTTTGTGTAAGGACCTGATGTCAATGAGGAAGCCAGCTATACTGACACCAGTGGCAAGAGCACTACAGGCAGAGGAAACAGCAAACACAAAGGCCTCAATACATAGTACACACAGCACAGTGGCAGTCAGGAGTCCATGGGCAGGTGGAGAAAAGGCCACATGAAAGGGAAAGAGGATGCCAGTTGAGGACAAATGAGAGTTTAAAAAGGTGAGGGGCTGAGAGCAGTGGCTCACACCTATATTCCCAACACTTTGGGAGGCCAAGGTAGGAGGATCCTGTGAGCCTGGGAGCTCGAGACTAGCCTGGGCAACATGGTGAAACCACATTTCTATAAAAATACAAAAAATTAGCCAGGTGTGGTGGCATGTGTCTGTAGTCCCAGCTACCCAGGAGGCTGAGGTGGGAGGGTCACCTGAGCCTGGGAGGTCAAGGCTGCTGTGAGCTGTGTTTGTGCCACTGCGCTCCAGCCTGGGCAACAGACCTGCTCTCAAAAAAAAAAAAAAAAAGAGGTGATTGGGGTAGTTCAGCAGTGAAATACAAAACAAAGCAAAAAGGTAAAGCTACATATCATATCTATTGCCTGAAATGTGGAGTGGTTTAAGGTGATAATGAGAATGAGTTTTTTAAAGCCTAGAAAAATGAAGTTTAAAGCATGCTGTTTTCAAATACCGTATATGAAATGGGTGTTCTACAGTCATCAATTGTTTCCTGCATCCACAGAAGACAGAGAAAAAAGACTTAAAGATAACTCACCAGGCCTGTGCCAAAGAAATCAATCAGATAACCTCTGGAGATCCCTTTTAGCAATCTGTAAGCCTCAACACAGTGTTTCTTACACAAAGAGTTATTGCCATTTCAATTTAGAAACTTGGCAAAAAGAAAATGCTCAGCATTTCATTTTATTGAACATGAACACAATTGCTATAATTCACATTCCTTCTCAAAAACCTTAAATGGTTCCAGTGTTACAAGAAAATACCTGAAAGCCTGTGATCTAGCCGTAATGTTCAGTTTTAGTTTCACTTTTTGCTCTACTCAGACTTTTTTATTCATCTTTCCCCAAATTCATCATTATGAATGACTACTCACCTTCACATCTCTTATCTGGTATACCAAGGTGGCTTTTGAAATGCCTTTCCTACTCTTCTCCATTTAAAATTTGCTTTTCCGGGCCGGGCGCAGTGGCTCACACCTGTAATCCCAGCACTTTGGGAGGCTGAGGTGGGCAGATCACCTGAGGTCTGGAGTTCGAGACCAGCCTGGCCAACATGGCAAAACCCCATCTTTACTAAAAATGCAAAAAAATTAGCTGGGTGTGGTGGCAGGTGCCTGTAATCCCAGCTCCTAGGGAGGCTGAGGCAGGAGAATCGCTTGAACCCGGGAGACGGAGGTTGCAGTGAGCCAAGATAGCGCCATCCCACTCCGGCCTGGGGGATAAGAGCAAAACTACATCTCAAAAAAAAAGAAAAACTTGGCAAGACTCCATCTCAAAAAAAAAAAATAAATAAAATTAAAGCATATATAAGTAGAAATACTCCTACAATGAACCTCCATATATCTATCACCCAGATTCAATAATTTATTGCCACATTTGCTTCTTCAACTAACCCTCTTTCCTTTATAAAGGCTCTGCTTAAATAGTAAGCAAATTCCAGATTATCAGGCCATTTCAGTCATCCATAGTTCTATATGCATCTCATATGCTTTATATGCATTTCAGTCACCCATAGTTCTATATGCATTTAAGCTCATGCATTTTATTACATAAGCTTAAAGCCAGTATCACACATAGTAAAAGGAATAACACCCAGTCTACAAGAAAATTTCCTCAATTATCTTAAAATGTCCTTTTTTGGTCAGGCGCAGTGGCTAACACCTGTAATCCCAGCACTTTGGGAGGCTGAGGCAGGCAGATCACCTGAGGTCAGGAGTTTGAGACTAACCTGGCCACCATGGTGAGACCCCCAACTCTACTAAAAATACAAAAATTGGCCAGGCGTGGTGGCAGGTGCCTGTAATCCCAGCTACTCAGGAGGCTGAGGCAGGATAATTACTTGAACCCAGGAGGCACAGGTTGCAGTGAGCTGAGATTGTACCACTGCACTCCAGCCTGGGCAACAAGAGAGAAACTCCGTCTCAAAAAAGAAAAAAAAAAAGTCATTTTTCAGTTTGTCTATTCAAATCAGCATCCATCACGATCCACACATGGCATGTGGTCATAGGAGCTCTTAGGTCTCCTTGAATTTAGAGCAGGCCCCTTTCCTTAATTAACATTTTTTATGCCACTGACTTTTTGAAGAAACCAGGTCGCTTGCCCTGTAGGATGAGCCACATTCTAGACTTGTCTATCAGTTAGGATAGGCTAGGTTATACTGTGGTAACGAGCAATTCCAAAATCTCATTGGCTTAAAACAATGAAGCTTAATTTCTTACTCCTCCTACATACCCATCTCAGATTGAGCTACAGCTGACTGATAAAAACAGAATTCCTTTACCCAAAATACTGAAAAGAATGTAAATAAAAACTTAAACAAATTGATACAAATACTTTAAAGTATATCAGTGACAACTTCCTGTTTAAATAAATATATTGTTAAAAAATCATGCAAGAGCATTTTGTTATAATTACTAGGAAAGATTTGAGGAGCCCTGCTACCTGTTAAACATCAGTATCACTTCCAGACCCAGACTGATAAAAGTAGTTACTGTGTAGAACATTGTTGGTCAATTACGGCACAGGAGGAAAAGAACTCCGAAGGGTCTCACATAGGCAATCAAATGCCTCAGCCTCGAAGTCAATTATTCTTCATCTCATTGGCCAGAACTGGTCACATGGCACTACTTAAGCAAATGCCAGAAGTATTATCTTGCCACGTCCAGGAAAAGCACAAATCTGGACATTTCAGTAAGCTGTATTACTGGCTACTAGTGTATTTGATTCCTTGCAGTGTCGCTTTACTTGTTCCTCTATCTCTTGAGTTTCCTGAAAATGGAGGTTATCTCTAGAGTTTGATTAAATTCAGGTTCAGTAATTTTGGCAAGAGTACTTCATAGGCTGGTCTGTGTGCTTCACATAAAATCACATCAGGAAGCATACTGTGTTTGACTGTAGTAGATTGTAGCATTAATGGCTCCCTCTCACCCCAGCCCATTTTTTCTTTTTTTTGAGATGTAGTTTCACTCTTGTTGTCCAGGCTGGAGTGCAATGGCGTGATCTCGGCTCACTGCAACCTCTGCTTCTCAGGTTCAAGTAATTCTCCTGCCTCAGCCTCCTGAGTAGCTGGGACTACAGGCGCATGCCACCACACCTGGCTAATTTTGTATTTTTAGTAGAAAACAGGGTTTCACCGTGTTGGCCAGGCTGGTCTTGAACCCCTGACCTGAGGTGATTTGCCCACCTCGGCCTCCCTAAGTGCTGGGATTACAGTCATGGGCCACCGTGCTTGGCCCTTTTTTTCAGATTTCCTTGTATTCATGCCCTTGGGCAGGTACCTCTTGTTTTCACTCTGAGCTTGGACACATGACATGATTTGGCAAGCAGACAACAGCAAATCTGATGGCAAACAGAGACTCAAAGACCATTTGCACTGTATTTAGAGATAGCAGAAGAAAAAGAAAACTTTGCACACTGGGGATTTCCCTCTTTGCTACTTTTCAGAAGGCTGAGACCATCATCTGAAAAAGCCTGGGTTAGCCCCCTGGAGGACAAGAAACAACTTGGAGCAGAGATGAACAGTCCTTGCTGAGGCACCTAGATCCCTAACCTGCAAACCTTAAAATATGTGAGTGAAGTCATCCTACACTATCTAGACCATAGGAGTTGCCAGCTGACCACAGATACAGCAAAGCAAGCACAAGCCAGAAAAAAACTGCCAGCATATCCCCAGAATTGTGAGCAAATGAAATTGTTGCATTAAGCCACTATGCTTTGAAGTGGTTTGTAACAGAGCAAAAGCTAACTGATACACTGGTTAATCCATTTTTAATAAATCAATAGATTCAGATCCCTGCATTGTAAAGTTCCCCACCAATCTTTCAATTAATGCTCATCCACTGATTGTTGCCTATATCAATGTTTAATTTCATGCAAATCAATAACTTTTTTCCTTTTTTTTTTTGAGACAGGGTTTTGCTCTGTCACTCAGGCTGGAGTGCAGTGGCACAATCATGACTCACTGAAGCCACGATCTTCTGGGCTCAAGCAAACCTACCACCTCAGCCTCCCAAGCAGCTGAGACTGACTACAGGCACGTACCACTCTGCCTGGTTTTGTTATTTTTAACTTTTTTTGTAGATATGGGGTCTAGCTATGTTGCTCAGGCTGGTCTCGAACTTCTGAGCTTAAGCCATCCTCCCACCTTGGCCTCCCAAAGTGCTGGGATTATAGGTGTGGGCCACCATGCCTGGACTAATGATGATTCTCTAATTCTATCATATCTTCCACATCAATGAGCAGGAATTCTTCTGCAAAGCACTTTCTCTCATCTACCAGGGTTATGTCTGTACATGATAGATGCCCAATTCTTTCCTTTTAAATACAAATATTCAAATGAGTAATTCTGCCCTAGTTACATCCCATGGAGTCCAATGAGGGTTTTGTTTTGGTCTTTTATTTTTTCTCTTCTATCAATATGGATTCACTTTTAAATATATTCAGTATGGTTGTAGTCAACTGTAAAATTTTTTTTCCTGCTCAAATTGCCCTTTTTTTTTTTTTTTTCTAATAAGAGTACCTTCATGTTAGCTTCTGTATCCTCTTGACATTATCCATTAGTCTACTTTCTGGCACAACAAAATGTCCCAGGCTAATCTTGTCTATTTCTTGTCACACTTTTGGAATTGGCCATTCCTCCAAAGAGTCTTGGTTCCAATTAATGGGAAAGGTATTTAGAGATCACAATCTGGGTATTTGATGTGCTCACTGATACTTGGATGTCACTGCTTCTAGATCTTTTCATGGACTTAAGAAATAGTATTCTTAAATAAGAGAAAGAGGGCCGGGTGTGGTGGCTCACGCCTGCAAACCCAATGCTTCGGGAGGCTGAGGTGGGCAGATTGCTTGAGCCCAGGAGTTTGAGACCAGCCTTTACTCCAGCCTGGGTGACAGGGCAAGACTTTATCTCAAAAACAACAACAAAAAGTAAGATTATGTGTTTCTAACCCTTCTCTGAGGTTTTCAAGCCAGAACAAATAAAAGTAAAGGCCGGGTGCGGTGGCTCATGCCTGTAATCCTAGCACTTTGGGAGGCCAAGGTGGGCAGATCGCTTGAGCTCAGGAGTTTGAGACAATCCTGGGCAACACGGTGAAACCCCTTCTCTACAAAAAATACAAAAACTAGCCAGGCATGGCGTTATGCACCTGTAGTCCCAGCTACTTGGGAAGCTGAGGTGGGAGGATGGCTTGAGTCCAGGGGATGGAGGCTGCAGTGAGCCAAGATCGAGCCACTGCACTATAGCCTGGGTGACAGCTAGACCCTACTGCAAAAAAATATTTTTTTTAATTAAAAAGTAAAATCACTCGTTTTACAGGGCCCACCTCAGGTTCCATAACCTCAGTGAAACCCTTCCATAAGTACTTTCTCTTTTCTGACTTCTTACATTGTTTACTGTCTATATTGCTCACTTAGTCCTTTGCATCAATCAATCAATTAAAAAATTAATGCACTACGATCTGAAGAGCACCAGAGTGGATGCTGTGGGGATGCAATGTATTACCCATTAAATTTTCATGTGCAGTCACTTCCTTGATTAAGCTATATACTGAAGCCAAACCTTTCTAATTTCCCCCATGGTGGCCAGTACTGCTGATTGATAAAAACAGAATTCCTTTACCCCAAATATTGAAAAGAATGTAAATAAAAACTGAAACAAATTGATAAAAATCCTTTTAATAAAGTATATCAGTGACAACTTCCTGTTTAAATATATTGTTAAAAAATCATGCAAGAGCATTTTGTTATCATTATGAGGAAAGATTTGAGACTACTGTTCCTTCTGCAGAAACGCTATGCACAGATGCAAAATGATCAAAGGCTGATACAATAATGAATCTCAAGTAAGTAGCGGAGCCATCATGTGCCTGTATGGGAAAAAAATCAATATAAATGCTTTTAGCAGTGCTAGTTAACTGTTAACAAGCAGTTAGCAAAAGAAACAGCTTGATGCAAGAGTAATATTCTAAATATATAACAACACATAAGGCCAGCTACATATAATAGTTGTGGTACATATCAGCTAAATACCAGCCTTGATTTGATGAAAAATAGCAACTGGAGCTAAAAACTGCAACTCTCATTTTTTGTAGGGACAGGGTCTCACCGTGTTGCCCAGGCTGGTCTTGAACTAGCCTCAAAGCTAGTCTCCCAAAGTGCTGGGATTACAGGCATGAGCTACCATGCCCAGTTTCTAATTTTTTAAAAGTGTCAGCTGGGCTCAGTGGCTCACACCTGTAATCCCAGCACTTTGGGAGGCTGAGGCCGACAGATCACCTGAGGTTGGGAGTTTGAGAACAGCCTAACCAACATGGAGAAACCCTGTCTCTACTAAAAATACGAAATTAGCTGGGCGTGGTGGCACGCACCTGTAATCCCAGCTACTTGAGAGGCTGAGGCAGGAGAATCGCTTGAACCCGGGAGGCAGAGATTGCAGTGAGCAGAGATCGCACCACTGCACTCCAGCCTGGGCAACAAGAGCAAAATTCCGTCTCAAAAAAAAAAAAAAAAAGTGTCTTTCTAAAGTATTTTTCATAATAAAGAAGTTTCCTTTGGTTAATGTTGCCTCAGAATACGCTACCCTGAAGCATGACTACATTTTTATATTTATATAATTTCTCTGGAAAGCAATTAGCCAATATATTTTAAAAGCTATAAGTATGTTTACAACCTTGCACCCAGTAATTCTATTCCTTGAAATTTAATCTTAGAAAGTAAGAAAAAAGGTGAAGGTACCAGTAGCAGGAATATGCATAGATGTCCCCTGTGTATTACAGAGGGGACAAACTGTGTAATGACAGAGGGAAGAAAAAGAAAATTAGTTTAAATGTATGCCAACTGGCAAATGTTATTTTAAAATTGTACTTACGAAGCCTGTGATATAATACTAAGTTAAAAAAAAAGATGACACAAAATTGTTCACACATTATTATTCTAACTGTACAGCATATGGTCAACAACTAGAAGAAAATAAATACAGTAAAAGTTTTTGTGACAGGGTAATAAAATTCTGGGTGATTTCCAGCCTCCCATTCCCCCTTGCTATTTTCCAAATTTTCTATAATGCTGTAACCCTCCACAGTGGAGTCCTGAAACAATATACGAAAGGTAGCAGGGGCTTACTAATCATAACCCACTAGGTAAAGACAGAAAAAAACAGGAAGATAAAATTCAGTAACATTAATCATTTTTCAGGACCTCACTGGCCTCCCCAGTACTTGGGTGAATTTTGGTGGGAGAGAAAGGAACTAATGGGATTCAAAAACTTCCTACAGAATTTTTTGAAACACTGATTTAATAGCAGCTTCTGGCAAGTTGTGAAGAAGTAAACTTAATGGATAAGGTACTATTTTAACCCTCATTTAGGGAAACCTTAATTAAACAAAGCATGACCACCTAATAGATATTCAGTTGTTTTGTGTTTGTCTAAAACCAGGGCCTGACCAACTACCAGGAATAGCGGAACTCCTGATGAGGCAGCAGCTTCCTCATCAACGGGCATTCATTTCACTTGACAAGCAAAGCCCAATGGAATGTTGTCGAAAAATACTGGTTGTCTTTCCACCTCATCTCTCTTTGGCTTATTTGTTGCTGATCCTATGCTCTAGTTCCCCTTATATGAATCTCACTTGTCCTTTCATGCTTAAATTAACATTCAATTTTGGCATCGCGACCCTTTTTTCATTCCTATTCTAAAATGCCTACAGAATCAAATGAAAGAAAGCAAACCAAATAAATACTTCAAAGTAAATGAATGAGAAAAATAAAACAAAAAATAAATGAATTGTTTTATCTTGCCGTCACTCTCTATGAAAGGTAAGAACCTAATTTATGAATGTACATTTAGCTTATATTATTATTGAGAATAACTTTCTCTACCGGTTGATTTAGGTACAAACCTATAATATCATGAGGAAATTTATTAACTATGACTATGGAGATAGGTTAAAGTCTAAATACATTGTGCAGGTTAATTTTTAATTCTATAAAGTATATTCACTTACCACAATTTCTTCATTTTGAAGCTGCCCCTCTGTGTGTACCAAATCTAAAACATAAATGTAACAGAAGAAATGAGTTAAGGGTCAAAATACATGAGAATAGCTATTGAAATTTATGTTCAGCAAAATATGATATCTGGTAAATTATGAGACCAGGTTTGAAGGAATCATCGTTTGCATGTTGAAATTTAATTTAAAAATAGAGGTATATGATACACAAGGCAAAAAAGATAAACTATGAGCTATAAAATATCCTAGTGAGTATAAGCAAAAGGAAATGCAAAGGTCAATTATATTAATAGTAAAAGGATATAAGGAACTGATAAAATGTGAAAATTTCTTTTTAAAACATTTATTTAAAAAAAATCCCCCTTTCAAGAAAAAAAAGTGAACATTTGAGGATCCAGCTACTAACAGAAAGGAGCCATTTTGCCATAGCCACGGGAAACAACTAGAGCTGAGTTTCTCAGTGAAACTTTCACTATGATGCATAATTGTGTGGCCCATGAAGTAATCTTTTCTGGTATCCAAATTTTAAAAATGTTTCCTTATGTAATTTTAGAGCAGATTAATTTATTTCATCATGAGTTAATCATATCAAACAATTCTTCTGGAAACATGAAAGATTTAATTGCTATAATGGTAGCTAATGACAGCCGGGCACAGTGGCTCACGCCTGTAATCCCAGCACTTTGGGAGGCCGAGGTGGGCGGATCACGAGTTCAGGAGATCAAGACCATCCTGGCTAACATGGTGAAACCCTGTCTCTACTAAAAATACAAAAAAATTAGCCGGGTGTGGTGGCAGGCGTCAGTAGTCCCAGCTACTCGGGAGGCTGAGGTAGGAGAATGGCGTGAACCCAGGAGGCGGAGCTTGCAGTGAGCCGAGATCGCGCCACTGCACTCCAGCCTGGGTGACAGGGCAAGACTCCATCTCAAAAAACAACAACAACAAAAAAGATAGCTAATGACAGTATTCAAAATTAACTTCACATTAAATAATGTACACAATGTAAAAGCCCCGTAGTATTAAAAGAGAAGTCTCTGTGTTTCTGTTTCCTAACCCTTTTCTGAAATAATGAAAATCAGTAATCTGCTTTACCCCTTCTTTCTCCTCTAGTCCTGCTTCCTAGAAGTAAACATTCTCAACTCTTCAAGCTATTTTTCCTGAAATTATAATATGCTTTTATTCCTTTTTGATAAATTTTTTACTGACTTTATATAGTATGGTAGGTAAAATTTTAGCTTTTTAAAACCGAAATCCCCTCTTCTTCCTCCTTCAACTTCTCCCTCTTTACCTCCTCTCAAATTTGAAATCCTACTTGATGGTTACATTACTCTGTCTATCTAAAGGTTATTTACTCCTGAAATAATACATTATAATGATATTTTCTTTCTTGTACAACTCTATCACCAGAAATTAATAATAAACTTTTTCATTTGCTTAGTTTTTTTAGTTATGAAAAATTGAAAAATATCGGCTGGGCATGGTGGCTCACACCTGTAATCCCAGCATTTTGGGAGGCTGAGGCGGGCAGATCACAAGGTCAGGAGATTGAGACCATCCTGGCTAACACGGTGAAACCCCATCTCTACTAAAAAAAAAATACAAAAAATTAGCTGGGCATGGTGGCGGGCACCTGTAGTCCCAGTTACTCGGGAGGCTGAAGCAGGAGAATGTCGTGAACCCAGGAGGTGGAGCTTGCAGTGAGCCGAGATCACGCCACTGCACTCCAGCCTGAGCAATAGAGTGAGACTCAGTCTCAAAAAAAAAAAAAGAAAAGAAAAAAGAAAAATATCAAACATACTTAGGAGAGAACATAAAAAAACTCCCACATATACCCATAAGCTAGATTTTATAATTACTAACATTTCATCATAGTGGATTTATCAATTTTTTTTTTCACTAAAGTATTTTAGGCCAGGTGTGGTGGCTCACTCCTATAATACCAGCACTATGGGAAGCTGAGGTGGGTGGACGATTTGAGGTCAGGAGTTTGAGACCAGCCTGGCCAACATGGTGAAAACTCTGTCTCTACCAAAAATACAAAAATTAGCCAGGCAACGTGGTGCACGCCTGTAATTCCAGCTACTCAGGAGGCTGAGGCAGGAGAATCACTTGAACCTGGGAAGCGGAAGTTGCAGTGAGCCGAGATTGCGCCACTGCACTCCAGTCTCAAAAAAAAAAAAAAAAAAAAAGTTAAAGCAAGTGCAAGTGTAAGACATTATTGACATTTCATCTCTAAATACTTTTTTGTTCTTTTGAGACAGGGTCTCACTCTGTCGCCTAGATTGGAGTGTACTGGCACAATCTCAGCTCATGGCAACCTTCACCTCTGAGGCTCAAGTGATCCTCCTTCCTCAGCCTCCCAAGCAGCTGGGACTACAGGTGCATGCCACCACACCTAGCAAATATATATGTATATTTTTTGTAGAGACAAGATTTCTCCATGTTGCCCAGGGTAGTTTCTTGAATTCCTGAGATCAAACGATCCGCCCACCTCAGCCTCCTAAAATGCTGGGATTATGGGCGTGAGCCTAGCTTCCCCTAAATACTTAATTATCCATTTCTAAATAATAATTCTTTATATAACCATAATACCACCATCATAACATTAAAAATAGTGGTTTAATATAATATGAAACCCAATTCCTATTCAAATTTCCCCAATTGTCCCTGTCTTTTTTAATTGGTTTATTAAAATCAGAATTAAGTCTCTTTTAACCTTCAACTGCTTTCTCTCCCCTACACACATTTTTTAATGTCTTTGACTTACTGAAGAGACCAGGTCAGTTGTCCTGTACAATGTCCCACATTCTAGATTTTTTTTTTTTTTTAAAGAGATGGGGTCTTGCTCTGTCACCCAGGCTGGAGTGCAGTGGCATGATCACAGCTCATTGCAGTCTCAACCTCCTGGGCTCAAGTGGTCCTTCCATCTCAGCCTCCCAAGTAGCTACGATTACAGGCACATGTCACCATCCCTGGCTAATTTTTAATTTTTTTTTGTAGAGACAACATCTTGCCATGTTTCCTAGGCCAGTCTTGAACTCCTGGACTCATGCAATCCTCCTCCCTCAGCCTCCCAAAGTGTTGGGATTACAGGCATGAGCCACTGTGCCCAGGCCCCACATTCTAGATTTTATCATCTTGTCTATTCGTGGTTTCACTTAATTTGTTCCTCTATCCTCTACATTTCTTATAGATTGGAAATTAGAGCTAAAAGCTTGATTATATTCAGGGTTTGAGGTCTTCATTAATGTCTTGTGATCTTTCTTTTGTTACTTGTGGATCATTTGAAAACTGTGCATCATTTGAAAACTGTGTGCATGAGCCACACTTATTGATTACTGGACTTAAATAAGGTGACCAGAAATGAGCTGGCCTTTGTCAGTATCCATAGGTCTTTTTTCTAGGGCCATTTAGTTTCTCCAAAGATGAATGTTCCAGTCTCCCAGCTGAGGGTATATTCTTGGCTGCTGAAGTTAATACCAGAACACAGGAAGGAGGCTGGTGTTCCCACTATTCAATATGTAGGCTTCCACTAGTATCGTATTTTCAACTCCATGTCTCACTCACTCCCTACTATATCTGGTCTCCTGAGCCTCAACATTCTATATTTGCAGTTGTCTCTTGAGGGTTGTGGTGGAGGTCTGTGGGATAAAGGAGTGGTCACCTAGTTTTGTAGGACGGAAGAAGGTACCTAGAGTCTGATTACTCTGTAAATAGATGTTCAACTAATCATCCTTGTTTTCTGACCCAGGTCTCATTCATACTTCCCATGGCACCTGTTGCCTTTGAGCTCTAGGCCTTTCTGGGGTTTTGTGTGGCAAAGTGGCTTGCTTCTTATTGACATGCTCCTTGTCAAGACCTTAGGTTATAACACAGTTCATTCAGCTAAAGAAGTTACTACTCTTCAATCTGCTTTCTCTTTATCATAATATACACTGATCTCTCACATTTGCTTTAGTTTGCTGGTTGTTAAATCTTTTGTCCTTGTAGGTTTATGCCTCTTTTTATTCCTTTAATATTATTTTCATGGTATTTTGAAAGGGAAAATAGACATATGAAGGCAAGATGCTGTGTTTAATTAAGTAGAGGCTATCAATTCTGCTGGTGATATTTAAATAGTACCCTTAATCAGGACAAAAGGAAAGAAGATGAGAAACTAATATTTATTGTCTATTATATGCCAGACACTAGTTCACCAAAACCTTGAATGATAGATATCATCACCATTTTCCTAATAAGGATTCTGAAACTGAGAAAAATTAAGTCACATGTTAATACTTATATAACCAGTAAATGAAGAAGCAGCTTTGTATTCAAACCTGGGTCTTTCTAGACCCTAAATGTGTCACAAGGATCATTAAAGTCATCTTTTTTCACCAAAGTGCAGCTAGATGAGAAATGCAGAATCAAAGGAATATTATCTACTCCTTCATGCTCAGAACAATGCTGGTGAAACACATACCTTTTTCAATCCATTGCTCAAAATCAACTGGCTCTTTAGACGTGCTTTTTTCAATCTTCAAGGTCTGTACTAACATTGTAAACAAAGTAAGTAAAGTGTTAATCTGGCTGTATGTTTTTGTCCCTATATTTCTTTTTCCCTCTGCCTGAGATTATCATGCACAGTGGAACTACACAGAGCACTGGGATCAGAAACAACATGGAAGTTACTCTGTATGTTTCCAAAAAACCCTATGGTAAAATATAGTCTTGTGTAACTAATCTTCCAAATGTTCGCAACCATACAACACAGAGCAAGTAGAGCTTTTCTGAATTTGGCATTGTTCCGATTTTTTTGTGTGTATGGCGATAATACTACTATTGGTGGTCTTGGTCATAAACATTTATGGAGAGCCTATGATGAGTCAAACATATTTATCCATTCACTTTTGACTACAATCTTATGAGAAAGGTACTTTAACCCACTTTACTGGTGAGAAAACAGGTTTAGAGGAGCCAAGCAAGGTGTTCAATGATATACAGCTCATAAGTGCCAGAAATGGAATTCAAACTTTAGGTATGACTCTAGAACCTCCACGATTAATGAGAGAAGAGACTTATCAGGAATACAGTCATCTTCCTTCTAAACTGGTTTTTCTCCACTGCTCCAGTCCAGTCTCTACCACTCCAGATCCATTCCTCCTCTTCTTTGTCCTGTTCTGTGCCATGAGGGGCTAACCTCTGTGGACTCTATCACCTGGATTCATTTACCCACTGGCTTCTGATTGGATTGGATTTGGCCAGTGGGAGACACCAGGGGGAGACTGGGGTGGGGAAGGGAGATCAGCCAATTTTATCTCCACTCCCTCCCTGCTTCAGTGTGACATCTTTGACAGTTTCTCCTGCCTACAGCTCCTATTAGGCCCTTTTACACAGGCTTCAGCTCTCACAGATCTCTGATAACACTATTTCCTTCCCTGTGCCAGGGCTAGTTACAGCTTCCTGCTATAGCTAGTTTCTGAGGGCCTCATCATTCCTTGCCTTGTTTGTTCCCTTAACCCAGGCCATAATTTTGCAAGTAGCCCCATCAATAGAGCCTCTTCATTTGAACCATCTGGGATGTATTCTGTTTCCCGCCATGATTTTGTCTGATACATTTTATCTTTAAATAAATAGGATTAGAATGATGTCCCAAGGGAGATTATCCCCCTAAATTCCTGAGAAAATGCCACTAGTAATAGAAGAATCTCAACTATCCAATGTAAATAATCAGAGTTATCAGATTTTCAACAAGAATTTGACAAATAACTCCAGGACAAATGAATCTAGAATAAAGATGTCATGGAATAGTGTTCTAGCAAGCTGGAGTCTTATGTTCCTAATAGGGCCTTTTGCCAAAGACTTTTACATAGTAAATTGCATGGAAATTATTATGTGCTTTGGAAGGGTTTCGAATTTGCAGTTTGAGAGAGGCCAACTGAGCTCAAGGCATTTACCTCATAATCCCCATCCTTTCACCCCAGCAATAAAACTGGATTCCATGCTATAAAGAAAAACTAGTGTTTTGCCAAAAGTTTACATATATGCCTTCTGCCTGTGGAAAAAATGAAAGGATAATGAAAACTAAAATATTAGCCTTACCTGGAGCACCAAAAAAAAAAAAAAAAAATTAATGTAAGATTTGCTTACCAAAGTAACTTTGGATTACAAGCCTTTCAATCCTTACATGTTTGTGGAAACAAATAATGAATTCCTGGGGAAACATTCCTGTGGTGGTCCAAAACGTTTCTGGATTCCTATTGTTAATTTTAAAGAAAAAATAAGAATAGCCAAATATAAATGGTTAATCATAAAATTTTATTGAATACCTGTTTTTTAAAATTAAATGACTACTGGATTCTCACATCTCCTTTCTGTTAATTCTGCCTCTAATCTCTCTCCAACTTTAATAATTCTTCTTTACTACTACCAGGTATTCTTTTCTAAAACACAGAAACGGAATTGATGTCACTTCTATCTAAATGCCTCAGTGGTCCCTTTATTGCCTATAATTCTAAACTCCTTCGTATGGCATTTAAGACTGTAGGATCTGGTTCCACCATTAAGTTATAGTCTCTTCCATCACTGTGGTCACACTGGGCCACTTAAAATTCTGCAAATATGTTAGGCAGGCTCTTGCTTCTGTACCTTAGTTCATTCATGAGGTTTTTTTTTTACCTGAAAAACCGTTCTTCCCCTTGCATAAGTTCATTCACTTTCTGGTCCCATTTATCTAACCCCACCAAATCAGAATCACTTCCTCCCTCTTTTGCACTTATCTCATACTCAGCCTCCATCTCTACATTGGCACTTAATCTCCTGTGTTTCTATGGCTCCCACTAGATGCTGAGCTCTGAGTCCAGTTTCTTTCTCTTACTCACCTTTGTAACCCTACAACTGCTACAATGGCTCACCCATAGTAGACACATGCTAAATGTTTGTTCAAACAAAAATTAAAACATGCACTCAATTTTAAGTCATATATAGGCAAAATAGTATATATTATGGTTTTGACTACAGAAATAATCATTTCTATTTTAACTATATAAGCTTTTCTTTTTTTGGAAGTAAAATTTACCTACAGTGGAATTTACCTTAAGGGCATAACTTAGTGAGTTTTGATAAATGTATACGCTTATGTAACCAATACTCCAATGAAAATACAGAACATTTCCGTGACTCCAGAATTTCCCTTATCTTTCCTTCCAGACAATCCCTACCTCCCTTAGGCAACCAGTGCTCTGATTTCTATCACCACCAACTATGCTACAATGTTTCCATTCGTGATTTTGTTTGATATTTTTGTTGGGTATTTTAATTGCTTGCAGCTTTTTACTATTAGGAACAAAGCTGCTCTAAGTATTCTTGTACAAGTGCTTGTGAACATGTTTTCATTTCTCTGGGTAATTACTAAGAGTGGAATTGCTGGGACATAGGGTAAAAGTATATTTAACTTTATAAGAAACTGTCAGCTTTCCAAAGTGGTTGTACTATTTTGCGCTCCATTTTCTTTCTTGTCATGTCTTTGTCAGGCTTTGCTATCAGGATAATGTTGTTCTCATAAAACAATTTGGGAAATGTTTCCTTCTCTATTTTTGAGAAAGTTTGTGGAAGACTGGTATTTCTTCCCTAAATATTTGACCGAATTTAATTTCCATAATAGATATGAGGCTGTCCAGAATTTCCAATTGATCTTGTGTTATTTTTATAGGTCGAGCTTTACAAGAAATCTGTCCATTTCATCTAAGTTGTCAAATGTATTAGCTTAAATTTGTTCTTTATATATGATTCCTTTAGAATCTGTAGTGATATTACTTTCATTCCTGGTTCTAATAAATTGCATTTTCTTTATTTCTTGGCTAATCTTGTTAGAGGTTTATAACTTTTATTAATCCTTACAAATAATCAACTTTAGGCTTTATTATTTTTTCTAATAATTGTCTATTTTGTTGATTTCTGCTCTCACCTTTACTATTTATTTTCTTCTATTTACTTTGGGTTTAATTTGCTCATTTTTTTCTAGCTTCCTAAGGTGAAAATTTAGATTATTGGTTTTACATTTTTTTCCTTTTTAACATAAGTATATATGCTATTACTTTCCCTTGAGACACTGCTTTAGCTGCATCCTACAAATTTGGTATGTTACATTTTCAACGTCATTCTGTTAGAAATACTTTCTAAGGCCAGGCATGGTGGCTCACTCCTGTAATCCCAGCACTCTGGGAGGCTAAGGAGGGTGCTCACCTGAGGTCAGCAGTTCAAGACCAGCCCGACCAACATGGTGAAACCCCGTCTCTACTAAAAACACAAAAATCAGCCAGGTGTGGTGGCACATGCCGGTAGTCTCAGCTACTTGGGAGGCTGAGGCCCAGGAGGCAGAAGTTGCCATGAGCTGAGATTGCACCACTGCACTCCAGCCTGGATGACAGAGGGAAACTCCATCTCAAAAAAAAAAAAAAGAAAGATTTTCTAAGATCCCTTCTGATTTCTTTTTTGACCCATGGGTTATTTAGAAGTGCAGTGTTTAATTTCTAAGTTTTGGGGGGTTTTCTGAATATCTTTTTGTTGTTTATTTCTAATTTAATTACACAGTGGTCAGAGAACATACTATCTAAGATTTTAATCTTGAAATATATTGAGACTTATTTTATGTTTCAGCACATTTCAGTGAATGTTCAATATGCTGGGTTTTAAGAGACAGAGTCTCGCTCTGTCACCCAGACTGCAGTGCAGTGGCACAATCTTGGCTCACTGCAGCATTGACGTCCTGGGCTCAAGCCATCCTCATGCCTCAGCTCCAAAAGGAGCTGGGACTACAGGTACACGCCACCATGACTGGCTAATTTTTGTGTTTTTTCGTAGAGATGGGGTTTTGTCATGTTGTCCAGGCTGGTCTCACACTCCTGAGCTCGGGCAATCCGCCTGCCATGGCCTCCCAAAGTGCTGGGATTACAGGCGTGAGCCACCATACACAACCCATCAATACATTCTTGTTCCATGTTGTTGATTATAGTGTTCTATAACCGTCAACAAAGTCAAGGTTATGACATTATTCAGATCATCTATGTCTTTATTGATTTTCTGCCAAATTGTTCTATCATTACTGAGAAAAGGGTATTAAAATCTCTAACTATAACTGTGAATTTGTCTATTTCTCCCTTTCATCTGTCAGATTTTGCTTTATGTAGTTTAAAGAACTATTATTAGGTCCATATACACTTAGGATTATCCTCTCTTCCTTTTTCTCTTTTTTTTTTTTTTTTTTGAGGCGGAGTCTCACTCTGTCGCCCAGGCTGGAGCGCAGTGCACAATCTTGGCTCACTGCAAGCTCCGCCTCCCGGGTTCATGCCATTCTCCTGCCTCAGCCTCCCGAGTAACTGGGACTACAGGCATGCGCCACCACGCCTGGCTAATTTTTTTTATTTTTAGTAGATACGGGGTTTCACCATGTTAGCCAGGATGGTCTCGATCTCCTGACCTCGTGATCCGCCCGCCTCGGCCTCCCAAAGTGCTGGGATTGCAGGCGTGAGCCACCGCACCCAGCTATCCTCTCTTCCTAATGAACGGACTCTCTAACACTATAACGTGTCCCCTTTGTCTCTGGTAATACTCCTTGTCTTATATTTTTGTCTGACATGAATATAACTACAGCGACTTTCTTATGTAAACTGTTTGTAGGATGCATCTTCTTTCATCCTTTTATTTTCAACTATTCATATCTTTATATTTAAAGTGCATATCTTTTAGACAATATATATTTGGGTCTTGGATTTTTATCCAGTCTGACAATCTGATATTTAACTGGAGTGTTTAGCCTCACTGATATTTAGTGTAACTACTGATATGGTTGGGTATAAGTCTACCATCCTGCTATTCATTTTTGTCTCTCCCTCCTATTCTTGTCCTGTTTCTTCTCTCCTGTTTCTGAGTGAATAATTTTTTTAAAATTCCATTTAATTCCTCTATTTTTTTTTAGCTATACCTCCTTTATTAGAAATTTTTGAAATAGCTGCTCTCTAGGTTACAACATAAAAACCTCATGATAGTCAATTTACACTGAACATCACTTTTGTGCCATTGTTGTCATATATTTTACATATATAATATATCCCATAATACAGTTTTTTTCATTAAGTGGTCAGTTATCTTTCAAAAAAATTAAAAGAGGAAAAAAAGGCAGTCTTTTATATTTACCCAAATATTTATCATTTCCAGTACACTTAATTTCTTCTTATAGGTTTGATTTTCCATCTAATATTATACCTCTTCAACCTGCAGGATTTCCTTTAGCATTCCTTATGATGCAGGTCTACTTGTGATGAAAAATGCCTTTATCCTATCTTCATTTTTGGAAGATAGTTTAGCTAGACACAGAATTCTGGGTTGACAGGGTTTTTAAATATTTGCTTGTTTCTCCCTTCCCCAGTATTTAAAAGATATTGCTCCATTGTTGTCTGGCTTCCACTGTTTGTGATGTAAAGTCAGCTGTCATTAGCACTATTGTTCCTCTGTATATAATAGTTTTTATTTCCTTCTAGCTATTTTAAATATTTTTTTCCTTTTTCAGCAGTTTGACTAAGATACAATGTCTGTATTTATCTAGCTTGGGGCTTGCTGAGTTTTTTGGGTCTATAAGTTGGTATTTTAAAATAAAATTGGGAAAAATTCAGCTCAAAAGTAGAAACAACCCAGATGTCCATCAACTGATGAATGCGTAAATAAAATGTGCTATATCCATACAATGAAATCTTGACAATAAATAAGAATGAAGTACTGATATGTGCTACAACATGGATTAACCCTGAGAACATGTAAGTGAAAGAAACCAGGCCAGGTGTGTTAGCACATGCCTGTAATCCAAGCACTCTGGGAGGCCAAGGCAGGTAGGTTGCTTGAGGTCAGGAGTTCAAGACCAGCACAGCCAACATGGTAAAACCCTGTCTCTACTAAAAATACAGAAATGAGCCAGGTGTAGTGGTGCACACCTGTAGTCATAGCTACTTGGGAGGCTGGGACATGAGAATCACTTGAACTCAGCAGGCAGAGGTTGCAGTGAGCTGAGACTGCACCACTGCATTCCAGCTTGGATGACAGAGCAAGACTCTGTCTCAAAAAAACAAAAAACGAAAGAAAGAAACCAGTCACGGCTGGGGGTTGTGGCTTACGCCTGTAATCCCAGCACTTTGGGAGGCTGATGCAGGTGGATCATGAGGTCAAGAGATCAAGACCATCCTGGCCAACATGGTGAAACTCCGTCTATACTAAAAATACAAAAATTAGACGGATGTGGTGGGGCCTGCCTTAATCCCAGCTACTCGGGAGGCTGAGGCAGGAGAATCGCTTGAACCCAGGAGGCAGAGACTGCAGTGAGACAAGATTGCGCCACTGCACTCCGACACTGTTTCAAAAGAAACCAGTCACAAAAGACCACATGTGTATGGTTCTATTTATATGAAATGTCTCAATAGATAAAATCTACAGAAACAAAGTAGATTAATGCTTGCCTAGGGCTAGTATGGATGGGAAAATACAGGGTGACTGATAACAAGTGTGGGGTTTCTTGTGTGGGGTTTCTTTTTGGGATGATGAAAACGTTCTAAAATTGATTGTGGAGATGGCTATGTAACTCTGTGAATAGGCTGGAAGCCACTGAATTGTATATTCTAAATGGGCGAATTGTATGGTATGTGAATAATATGTCAATAAAGTTGTTACCCACCCCCAAAAAAAGGCCAGAACTACTTTTTTTTTTTTTTTAAGAGACAGGGTCTTGCTCTCTCACTCAGGCTGGAGTACAGTGGCACAAACTTCTGGGCTCAAGTGATCCTCCTGCCTTGGCTTCCCAAAGTGCTGGGATTATAGGTGTGAACCACCTTGCCCAGCCAAGGCCAGCTCTCCTAACTCAAAATTCTGGGTTTTTATAAAATGCTTAATATTTTACAATCTCCTTTCATATTTATATTATTTTAAATTTTACTTATTGAAATTCATTAATTTTAATTGCCTCATGTTTTTCTTTGGATGCTTTCAATGAACATAACCAATAGAATAACATAAAATATCACCTGAATTTTAAAATGACATCTAACTAGGCCGGGCGCGGTGGCTCATGCCTGTAATCCCAGCACTTTGGGAGGCTGAGGCGGGCTGATTATGAGGCCAGGAGTTTGAAACCAGCCTGGCCAATATGGTGAAACCCTGTCTCTTAAAAAAAAAAAAGAAACCCTGTCTCTACTAGAAATACAAAAAATTAGCTAGGCCTGGTGGCGTGCATCTGTAATCCCAGCTACTCGGAAGGCTGAGGCAGAAGAATCACTTGAACCTGGGAGGCAGAGGTTGCAGTAAGCCGAAATCGTGCCACTGCACTCCAGCCTAGGCAATAGAACAAGATTCCATCTCAAAAAAACAAAAATTAGTCGGACATGGTGGTGCATGCCTGTAGTCCCAGCTACTCAGGAGGCTGAGGCAGGAGAATCGCTTGAACCCAGGAGGCAGAGGTTGCAGTGAGCCGAGATTGTGCCACTGCACTCCAGCCTGGGTGACAGAGTGAGACCTTGTCTCAAAAAAAATAAAAAAGACATCTAACTAAATCTTGTAATTATGTATAAGGAAGTCATCAAAGTGGTAGTTTTCTTTTAAATACGAATTTATAGCTAACACCTATTTTACATGGATTATCTCATGTGATTTTTTTCTCAATTCTGAGGTCAGCAGGAAAGGTGGTATTATCCCCATTTTTCAGATCAGTAACTGAGGCTCAAAGAGTAATATATGTACTCTTTGACCAAGATAACACATAATTCACTTACCCAGGAATTTTAATTCTAAATATAGTATTCTTCTACACTACACCAAAAGGACTGATTTTCTCTCTTCTTTTTTACTTTGCTTTTTTTTTTCCTAGTGTAGAACTTCTTTTCCCCTTTTTCATTGACACATTAAACACAAACGGCAGAGGAAAAGTAGAAGTATAATCATTTTCTTTTTTTAGAGATGCGGTCTTGCTATGTTGCCCAGGCTAGTCTCAAACTCCTGACCTCAAGCTATCCTCCTGCCTCAGCCACTATGCCCAGCTATTTATTTAACTCTTATTTCTGAAGGAATGGAGAGTTTGGAACAGGGCCATAAAACAATATTCCATTATCCTGTAGGGACACATTTATAGCACTGTTTTCTCCAAATACTCCTATGGTTACTCTATTTAGATAAAGCAACTGTGAACAGAAAATAACTTTTGGTTTTTCTTTGAGACAGAGTCTCGCTCTGTCACCCAGGCTGGAGTGCAGTGGCATGATCTCAGCTCACTGAACTTCCACCTCCTGGGTTCAAGCGATTCTCGTGCCTCAGCCTCCCGAGGAGCTGGGACTATAGGTGCACGCCACCACAACTGACTAATTTTTTGGTATTTTTAATAGAGACAGAGTTTTGCCAAGTTGGCCAGGCTGGTCTTGAACTTCTGACCTCAACTGATCTGCCCGCCTCAGCCTCCCGAAATGCTGGGATTAAGACATGAGCCACCGCGCCTGGCCAGAAATTAACTTTTAGTGTCTACAATATACAGTCTAATTATATTTTCTGGAACTGCATATGGATTAAAAGTCCCCGATGTATTCTGTTCAGTTATCAGGACAGTAATTACATTATTCCATGTTTTCCCGTACTAACAGTTTTTGTCTAATCTAAAAAATATTATGTCTTTATTCATCAAGATGGACAGAGCCTAAAATATTAACTGTGATATATAATAGCTAATCTTAATGTTCTATAAACATATGAACATACTCGCTTGAGAGAAAGATCACCAAAGTAGTGCAGGGTAAATTGATCTTGCCTTAGAAAACGAATCTATCTCCAATCAGAATCAAGGAGTGTTTCTGGAAAGTCCTCTATTTCTGGCAAACAACTTAAGGCAAATCTCCTCAGTTCTGTGTATCCTTAAAGCAGTTGCCACATTAATTTTTCTACTCCAAGACAGAGTAGGATAGTAACTATTACCTGAATTTCAGGAAGTAAACAACTAAGAAGAAGAAAGAAGGGACACAGGCAAAAAGTGGATATTGAATTTTTTATTCAAACTAAATTTGAGTTAACCTAGTGTAGCACAAAGATCCCTGAAGTACAAGTTAGAAGACACGAGTGTCAGTTGATTCTGCCTCTTGCTTATCTGTGTAATTTTGAGCAAGTCATTTTTATTTTGAGCAAGTCATCTGATCATTCTTTTCTTCATCTTTACAACGGGGTTGAAAATACTTTTTTGTGCTTCTTATTCCCCAAGATTACTGTGAGGGTCAACTGACAAAGTATCTATGAAATTATAAAGCCCTATGCAAATGTACAGTTATATATACATATATATGTGTTTATATGTATGTGTGTATGTGTGTAGACTTTGATTACTTTCCAGTATTAGTCAAGTTTGACTCATAGAAATAGTCTCTGACTTACAGGAATTCACAGTTGAGAGAGGGAACAAACATTAAAAATAAACACTACAATAAAGGAAAAAGTAAGGTAACAGAGGTATATACCAAATGTTATTGGAGCCCAGCAAAGAGATAAACGAATCTGAGGAGAAAAGTCAGTTGCCATAAAGATGACAACTACGCTTCAAGGAAGAGGCTGAGTTGCTAGAATTTCATCCAGATACATGGGCTTCAAGATATGCAAAGAATCATAAAACCTCTGTTACAACCAGTTCTGCCTTCAATGATTAAAAGTAGTACTTAACCTCTTTAGACCTCTCTTACCACAAGTCTAAAATAAAGGGTTTTGGCAAAATAAACCCATAAGTCCCGCCAGTCCTACAATTAGATGATTCTATGAGTCAAACTCTGTTCATTGTACATATACCAAGAAAGAGGGTTCAAGAAAGTAGTAAGCCAGAACTATTAAAAAAGGAGTCCTCCACCAGGCAGGGGGCTCACGCCTGTAATCTCAGCATTTTGAGAGGCCAAGGCGGGCGAATCACCTGAGGTCGGGAGTTCGAAACCAGCCTGACCAACATGGAGAAACCCCGTCTCTACTAAAAATACAAAATTAGCCAGGCGTGGTGGCGCATGCCTGTAATCCCAGCTACTCGGGAGGCTGAGGCAGGAGAATCGCTTGAACCTGGGAGGCAGAGGTTTTGGTGAGCCGAGATCGTGCCATTGCACTCCAGCCTGGGCAACAAGAGCGAAACTCCGTCTCAAAAAAAAAAAAAAAAAAAAAAAAAAGAGTTCTCAGGCTGGGCTCAGTAGCTTACGCCTGTAATCCCAGCACTTTGGAAGGCTAAGGTGCGCGGATCACAAGGTCAGGAGTTTGAGACCAGCTTGGCCAATACGGTGAAATCCCATCTCTACTAAAAAATACAAAAATTAGCCAGGTGTGGTAGTGCACGCCTGTAGTCCCAGCTACTCAAGAGGCTGAGGCAGGAGAATCACTTGAACCTGGGAGTTGGAGGTTGCAGTGAGCCAAGATGGTGCCACTGGACTCTGGCCTGGGTGACAGAGTGAGACTCTGTCTCAAAAAAAAAAAAAAAAAAGGAGTCCTCCCATTCCCATTAACTGCTTTTTCTTGGAATCTGAAGTCTAAGAACAATATTTAGAAAAATATCTAGCTAGAAAAAGCTCTAGCACAATGAAGAGTAGAAATTGGAAGGATATCAAAAAGGGGAGAAGCAAAACAATACACGATAGCAAGGAATGAAGCATTCAGTTCTGCAAAGATATCACTTAGACCAGTAAGGAAATAGGTAGTAAATAGGAAGTTATAATATTTACATTCTTATTCCAAGAAAAACGGAGTAAAACCATAACCAGACCTTAAAATTTACACTTCCATAAAATGAAGTTGTTTGAGTTTTTGCCTTGGTAAACCACTTCTAAAAAAACCTATTTGTATCAAGAGTTCAGTTTAGGCATTATAAAGAAAAGGATCAAAAACCTAAATATACACAACTCAATTAGTTTCAGAAATGGTACCAAAAGTGGATATCAGGTAATCCACCAAACATTTATTAAACTATGTTTAATAGGGCAAGTTGTTATAAAACACAGTCCAAGTACTCAAGGGATTCACCGATTTAAGACTGTAAACAACAAAGTATAGTAACTCTTACCCATCAATGATATTTTCAGGTGGGTGTTTTTCATCACTTGATGTAGCTAAAATCACTTCGGACCCTTCAGAGCTCAGACAGAGATCAATTTTTCTCATCTTAAAGTGTTTAACCTGCAAATTAAAAAATAACAAAAAAAGCAACTTCTTGATTCTCTAAACTTTATCTGAGAAAACGAAGTGAGAAGGAAAGGCTGTTGCCTAGCAGATGGTTTAACACCCAAGCTATTCAACATGTGGGAGGGACTCTAACATGTTTGTTTAGGTAAGAAACCTCTCCCAGGGATAATCTATAAGACATGACTATTTCTGCTACTCTGCTTCACAAAATAAGTCCCTGACTACCCTAGCCAAACAAAAAAACAAAAACACAGAGGTACAGGAAGAAGGTCAACCGAGGAGAACAACATGGAATACCATAAAAATACTCGATTAATTTGAAAGAAGGCAGAAAAAGAGAAACAAAAGAATAAAGAAAAATGGGACAAATAGAAAACAAATAGCAAGAACACAGATTTAAGCAAAAATACATCAATTATTCCATTGAGTGTTAATAAACATTCAATTATTAAATTAAAAAAACAACTAAATACTGTTTTCCAGAGATACATTCTAAATATAAAGATACAGACTAAAAGCAAAATGACAGAATAAGGTATAAAGTCTTAATGTCTGGCAAGGTAAATTTCCCTACTTTTCTTAAAATTTTTAAAAATTTTCATTATTTTATGTTTTAGTTTTTTAGAAATAGGGTCTCACTCTGACACCAAGGCTGGAGTGCAGTGGAGCAATCATGGCTCACTGCAGCCCTGAACTCCAGGGCTCAAGTGATCCTCCCACCTTAGCCTCCCAAGTAGCTGAGACTACAGGTATGCCACTATGCCCAGCTAATTTTTAAAAAAATTCTCTGTAGAGGCCAGGTGTGGTGGCTTATGCATGTAATCCCAGAACTTTGGGAGGCCAAAAAAAAATTTTTTTTTTTCTGTAGAGATGGGGTCTTGCTATGCTGCACAGGCTATCTTTTTTTTGAGATGGAGTCTCAGTCTTGTTGCCCAGGCTGGAGTGCAATGGGGCGATCTTGGCTCACTGCAACCTCTGCCTTCCGGTTTCAAGCAATTCTCCTGCCTCAGCCTCCTGAATAGCTGGGATTACAGGCAACAGCCACCACGCCCAGCTAATTTTTGTATTTTTAGTAGAGACGGGGTTTCACCATGTTGGCCTGGCTGGTCTCAAACTCCTGACCTTGTGATCCACCCACCTCAGCCTCCCAAAGTGCTGGGATTACAGGTGTGAGCCACCGCGCCCGGCTTGCACAGGCTAGTCTTAAAACTCCTGGCCTCAAGTGATCCTCCTGCCTCAGCCTTTCAAAGTGCTGGGATTAAAGGCATGCACCACTGTGCCCGGCCAATATCAATATTTTATAAAAATGCATTTCTTCTTAGTTTTTGTTTATTAGCATAAAGTTCACTTTCTATTATATTTTAAAAACTAGTATTGATAGTATTAAAAGTGTGGTAACATTGGTAAGAAATAAAAACATATATTTTAATTTTTTGTGCCTTTTTTCTCTACCAATCTTACCACAGTTTTCGACACTATTGATACCAGAGAACCAGTCAGTGTGGGATGAACATTGTCAAGCCTTAGTTTTAAGAGGAGAAAGATGGTGAATTCTGTAAATACAGATTGATAAACTTGAATGCTAATTCTCGACAAAATCCTAAAATTATTAAATTTCATTATTAAAATGGTAACCTTGAAAATGTAACCAAGGAAGTACTAAAATTGGAAGTAGCAGTAACATTAGTTTACAAGCTATACCAAACCTATATATTTCGGTTTGTCTGATGGAATTCCTACCCATCTGGAACATGTTCTAAAGATTTCAACAAAGCTTCAGACAAAGCTTCTCAAGATACCCTGTGGACCCGACAGAGAAATATGAATTGGGTGATAGCTAGTACTCTAGGTAGATATTTCTAACTCTGAGTGGCTATACTCAAAGAATGATGATTAATGGAAGAAAATGAACTTGTGGAGGACTTCTATCCTTATCCTACTCAACATTTTTATTAATTAAGGATGCACAAAGTATGCTTATCAATTTTGCAGACACAAAGCTGGGATGTCAGCTGATATGCTAGGTGACAGAATTAGCATTCAAAAAGAAATGAGCAAGCTAGAAAGACGACTTGCAATGAGTAAGATATTTAATAAGGATAAAAGTAAAAACCTATACTCAGTTTTGAAAAAAATCCATCATACAAGGGTTGGTCTAAATCAGGGGTTAGCAAACTACTGCCTGTGAGCCATATCTAGCCTGCCATCTGTTTTTGTATGGCCCACAAGCTAAAAATGCGTTTAACATTTTAAAATATTTTTAAAAATCAAAATATTCTGTGACACACAAAAATTACATGAAACTCAGATTTTAACGTCCATGAATTATATTGGAAAGTGGCTATGCTCATTCACTTATATATTGCCTATGGCTGATTATATGTTACAGTGACATAGCTGAGTCACTGTGAAAGACCATAAGGCCCATAAAACCTGAAATATTTACTATTTGGCCCTTTACAAAAAAGTTTGCCAACCTCTGATCTGATAAAACATATAGGTTTGGTTGACCACAAAGTCAATATAAGGTAACAGTGTACTCTATCTGCCCCTAAAGGTAATGGAATGCTATCTTAGAGTTAAGGAAGTACCACATTCCATCAACATTTTTGAACACCAATTGAACAAAGGGCCAACCACTGTGCTAGTAGTGCAAAGATGAATAAAACAACCTAAGTGACTAAGACTTGGTTCTTGCCTTCAAGCTCAGAGTCAAGGAAGATGAATAAGCATGAAACTAACAGTACAATATGCTATGTGCTAACATCATGTGACGCACATCCAGAATACTGTGTTCAGTTCTGGGTACTACGTTTTAAGTAGGACATTGTCAGGCGTGATATTGTTCGGAGGAGAGTAAAAAGTTCATGATGATCTATAAACCATATTACATAGAAAAAGGTGAAAAATAGAAATGCGACTATAATTTTTACTCTCAGTGGTGCTCACAAATGGAAAAAGGATTTAAATTTCTTTTTTTTTACACCTCCTGGGGCGTGAACTGGACTCAACAAATGCACATTTTAAGCAGGAAGACTTTGGAGAGACAAGGACTTTCGTTCAAAGTAAAGATTTTAAATTTCTTTCATCCCTGAAAACGTCCAAGAAAAGTCGGTAAGAGATCATAATCTATGGAAGAAGGCAAAGAAATCTACGAAGGAAGCCAAAGAAAGGATTCCTGCATTGGTAGTTCTCTTAGGCTGAGTCAGATTTTAGGAAAGGTAGATTGGGAATAGATAATGAAAGATCTGAAAAGCCAGGTTAATGGCAATGAACTTTATCCTGTACTCCAGTGGTTCTCAACTGGACTGGGTGTAGATTTTGGCCTCCAAGGGACACTTCAAAACATCTGAAGTTTTAACTGTCACAACTTGGGAGGGAACGCTGCTAAATATACCATCATATACGGGACAGCACATCCTCAAGTAATTATTGGTCCCAAGTATAAATAGTGTAAAGCTGGGGAAACTATGCAGTAATCTATTTGGCGGTGGAAATGTGAGGGTTGGAGATGTAGGGAGAGAACTTTTTTTTTTTGAGGCAAGGTCTGGGCTCTATGGCCCAGGCTGGAGTGCAATGACTCGATCTCGGCTAACTGCAACGTCTGCCTCCCGGGCTCAAGCGATCCTCCCACCTCAGCCTTCCTAGTAGCTGGGACTACAGGCATGCACCACCACGGCCGGCTAATTTTTTTGTTTTGTAGAGATGGGGTTTTGCCATGTTGCCCAGTCTGGTCTCTAACTCGTGAGCTCAAGCGATCCGCCTGCCTTGGCCACCTAAAGTGCTGGGATTACAGAAGCTAGTCACTGTGTCCGGCGGATAACTTGTTTTTTAAAAGAGAGTTACACTTTAGGGTTGATATGGAGCAGATGAATAGGAAAGAATGTACTCTCCAAATGTTCAGTTCTTTTCTTACCTCACATTCTTAAGTTTTCTGAGAGAAGCAAACACATGCTTTAATACAAAACTCATTTCACACCTTCTATATTCACCATTACCCTTCCTATTTCCTGTTTTGGGTAGAATTACTTAAGTAGAAACGGCAGAGACTTGGTTTTCTTTAAGGTTCTTTGTTGCAGTTAATGAGAAGAGGCAACCAACCTTAGAGAAATCCATACAATGCCAGGCCTGGTGACTCGCCTGTAATCCTGACACTTTGGAAGGCCGAGGTGGGCGAACAGCTTGAGCTCACAAGTTCAAGACCAGCCTGGGCAACATGGTGAAACCCCAAAACCCTCTCTACTAAAAATTCAAAAATTAGCCGGACCTGGTGGCAGGCGCCTGTAATCCCAGCACTTTGGGAGGCCCAGGCAGGCGGATCACTTGAGGCCAGCGGTTCAAGACCAGCCTGACCAACATGGTGAAACCTCGTCTCTACTAAAAATATAAAAATTAGCTGGGTGTGGTGGCAGGTGCCTGTAATCCCAGCTACTCCGGAGGCTGAGGCAGGAGAAGCTCCTGAACCCAGGAAGCGGAGGCTCAGTGAGGCGAGACCGCGCCACTGCACTCCAGCGTGGGCGACGAGCGATTATGTCTCCAAAAAACAAAACAAAGTGCAGGTTTGGGAGGTAGTCTAATCCCCCACCCCTTTAGAGCAAGGCAATTTCCTCAGGGCCGCAGTTTACCAAAGGTGGTACACTCTGGGGTGCTATCCTTTCCATTTTTTACAATCCCTGACCCTGGTATTCCCTGATGCCTTATCCTGTCTTCTAAACCAGTGCCACTGGTTTCGTCCCCAGTTCACCCTTTCATCGCTAGCTCACATGCCCTTTGTGGTCCTTCTTTCCCCAAACCTCTTCAGGTCAAGTCCTTAGAGGACCTTCTCCCTGACCAGCTCCCTTGGTTCTGGTGCTACAGCTGGACTCCTCACGCTCTTTCTTCAAGCATCATCCATTGGGAACGTGGTGTACTTTAGAAAACACGGACCCGGCCTAAGGCTTCTGTCTCCGAGGGGCCAGGGCCACGGCTTCCAAGGCAAACCAGCCCTGGCACCACCTTCTCACCTCCATCCCAAACCCTCCTCCTCAGTTCAAGGCCCTAAAGCCTCAGACTTGTGGAGGCCCGCCCCAAATTATGTAAAGAATATATAAATGCCCCCGACCTTAGGTACAATTTATAGCTAGATGTGTTACGTTGCGGCTGACAGCTTACATTACATTTTGGTAGACTAATTAATTTCGATTTACAACTGGTTTTCCCTTTTGGGGGGTCAAGACGCTATTTCTGGCCTCAAAGAGTTTCGTGGGCTGGTAGTGGCGCTTCCAGGGTCTAGAGGAAAAGGCGGGCCCGCGTCAGACCTCCCGCCGCGGCCCTTCCACGCCTCCCGCCGCGCGTCTCTTCACCACCCCTCCACTGTTGCTCCCTTCCCACCAACATCCCCGTCCTTCTGCCTTGCCCGGCCAGGCCCCCATACCCTCTGGTGCCAGCCTGCCTACCCCGCTACCCGCTCACCTGGGACTCCCGTTAGCTCTGGGCGCCGGACCTTCCGGGCTCGAAACCTCCCTTGCGCCCCGCCCCACGCAGAGCGTCCCGACCCGCAGCTCCGCCTGCTCGCCGCGGCCTCCGTGGAGTCCGGGGTCGCGCGCGCTCCAACTCTGAAATCTTCGCGCCACGCCTCCCACAAGCCCCGTCCCACCCTCAGCCCCGCCCCTTCGCCGCGGCCACCGCTGAGTTTCCGGGCGCGCGCTCCTACCCCGAGCTCTTTGCGCCACGACTCCCACAGGCCCCGCCCTGCCCTCAGCCCCGCCCCACCCCGCCACCGCGGCCTCCACCGAGTTCCCGGGCGCGCTCGCTCCACCGAGTTCCCGGGCGCGCTCGCTCCTACCCCGAGCTTTTCGCGCCACGCCTCCCAGAGGCCCCACCCCGCCTCAGCCCCGCCCCCTCGCGGCGGCCTCGGCCCCTCCTACCCCTAGCTCTTAGCGCCACGCCTCCCACAGGCCCCGCCCACAATCGGCCCCGCCCTCTCCGGCTCCCATTACTTCGCGGGCCAAGATGCGAAACCACTCCTGTGCGCCTTTCCCCAGGCCAGTCCCGGGGCGCGCGCTGCCTACCCTCCCCCAGCTCAGCTCTATCCCCGGGGCCCGCAGGACCCAGGGGACCCACCCTCCCGCGAGCACGCACGCGCAGGGCCCACCTCTGCGAGTTCCAAACCCTCGGCCCTCGGGTCGCCTGCCCTGGGCCTGGCCCCGCCTCCAGGTCCGGCCCCGCCTTCGTGCCGGGGCCCGCGCACGCGCGCCTCCCCGGCCCAGCCTTGCTCCCGCCCCCGCCGGTCCCGCGGTCCCACGGCGCCTGGTTGCCCCCAGCCCCCTCCCTCCTCCCACCTTCACTGTGTCCCACCCTTCCTAGCTTTGTGCCCGGGGTGCTGAGCCCTTCCCCGTCAGCCGGGCCGCGGGAGGAGGGAGCCGTCACCGAGGAGCTGCCGCTCGCTGCCCCGGGCAGGGGCACAGGTAGGTGGCGGCCGCGGGCCGGGCCGCTCGCGGGGCCCCGGGTTGCGTGTGGGAGCGGGGGCGGGGTGTTAGGGAGGGGCGGGGTGGGGGAGGGGACGCCCCAGAGGGACGGCGGGGCGCGGGTTGAGGGGAGGATGAGGTATACTGGTGGGGGCGATGGGTTTAAGGGTGGCGTAGGGGTGCGGGGGCAGGCTATGGGGACGTGTGAGAATTGGGGTTCGGGGCCTGGGTGGGACAGGGAGCAGGATTAGCCTGGGTGGACTCGGGGAGAGGCATGCTTGGGGAGAGAGCGGGAAGAAGGAAGGGGGAAGGGAATGGGATTTTAGGGGTTCAAGGAGGAAACGAGATAGGATAGGAATAGAGAGGGTGGGGTCTTGGGGGCAGGGAAGAAAAGTTGGGGGTGTGGAATGCCAAGTTGGGGATAGTGAGGCGTGAAGGAAGAGGGTCTTGAAGATTGAGAACAGAAGGCAAGGAAAGGGATGGAGAGATTGGGGTCCTAGGAGAGGGAAGCCCCTAGAGTGGGAAGAAGGGAAGAATAGATGGTGAAGGAGAGGAGTGGGGGGTGGAGGAGTGTGGGGAAGGAAGGGGAGGCAGGTGAAGGTTGGGAGATCGGAGGTTGGAAGGTTGGGTCTGTGGGACAGCAAGCCACCTTTCACCAGGGGCTCGGAAGGGCTGGAAGGGTCTGAAGGTTGAAAGGGGCAGGAGAGCTGGGGTGGGCGAAGGGAGTGGGGTTAGGATTTTTGGTGTGAGAAGCGCTAGAATTGGTAAGAGTGTCACGTTGTGGGAGAGACTGGCATGTTCTTGGAGGGAAGTAGGGAGCCTGAAAGGGTATGGGTGAGAAGGCAGGTAGGAAAGTGCATATTATAGGAAAAAAGTAGTGAGGAAAGTTGAAAATTGAAGAATGGGGACACACAGAACAATGAAGGTGGATTGTTGGTTATTGGTGGTTTAGAACTACCCATAGTTTAGTTTCTGTTTAGGTTTTTATGTTAGAAATTTTCCCAAGAATACTGCATTTTCAGATAAACCAAAAGTGTCTGCAGCCTTGGGATGAAGGCCATGGGTTGGCAGATGTTCTCCTGGTATATGGATGTAGCTCATTTTGGGCCTGGCTGAGGGAAGAAGGGAGGCCTCGTTGTAAATGTCCTGGCTGTGTTCCCACTAGCTCTTTCCCCAGATGTGCACTGTTTTTTTGTTTGCTTTTGTTTTTTAATCTTATCCCCAC